>NC_000002.12:92879295-93087651 GCF_000001405.40 Homo sapiens | reverse complement strand
AGTTTTCAGGGGAAGATATTTCCTTTTTCACCATAGGCCTGAAAGCGCTCCAAATGTCCACATCCAGATACTACAAAAAGAGTGTTTCAAACCTGCTCTATGAAAGGGAATGTTCAACTCTGTGACTTGAATGCAAACATCACAAAGAAGTTTCTGGGAATGCTGCTGTCTGCTTTTTATATGTAATCCCGTTTCCAACGAAATCCTCAAAGCTAGACAAATATCCACTTGCAGATTCCACAAAAAGAGTGTTTCAATACTGCTCTATCAAAAGAATGCTTCAACACTGTTAGTTGAGGGCGCACATCACAAATAAGTTTCTGAGAATGCTTCTGTCTAGTTTTCAGGGGAAGATATTTCCTTTTAAACCATAGGCCTGAAAGCGCTCCAAATGTCCACTTCCAGATACTACAAAAAGAGTGTTTCAAACCTGCTCTATGAAAGGGACTGTTCAACACTGTGACTTCAATTGAAACATCCCAATGAAGCTTCTGAGAATGCTTCTGTCTAGAGTTTATATGAAGACAATCCCGTTTCCAACGAAATCCTCAAAGCTATCCAAATATCCTCTTGCAGATTTTACGAAAAGAGTGTTTCAAAACTGCTCTATCAAAAGAAAGCTTCAACACTGTTAGTTGAGGGCGCACATCACAAATAAGATTCTGAAAATGCTTCTGTCTAGTTTTCAGTGGAAGATATTTCCTTTTTCACCATAGGCCTGAAAGCGCTCCAAATGTCCAAATCCAGATACTACAAAAAGAGTGTTTCAAACCTGCTCTATGAAAGGCAATGTTCAACTACTGTGACTTGAATGCAAACATCACAAAGAAGTTTCTGGGAATGCTGCTGTCTGCTTTTTATATGTAATCCCGTTTCCAACGAAATCCTCAAAGCTAGACAAATATCCACTTGCAGATTCCACAAAAAGAGTGTTTCAAAACTGCTCTCTCAAAAGAAAGGTTCAACTCTGTTAGCTGAGTAGATACATCATGACAAATTTTCTGACATTGCTTCTATCTAGCTTTTATTGGAAGATATTTCCTTTATCACCGTATTCCTGAGATCTCTCCAAATGTCCACTTCCAGATACTACAAAAAGAGTGTTTCAAACCTGCTCTATGAAAGGGACTGTTCACCACTGTGACTTCAATTGAAACATCCCAATGAAGCTTCTGAGAATGCTGCTGTCTGCTTTGTATAATTAATCCCGTTTCCAACGAAATCCTCAAAGCTATCCAAATATCCTCTTGCAGATATTACAAAAAGAGTGTTTCAAAACTGCTCTATCAAAAGAAAGCTTCAACACTGTTAGTTGAGGGCGCACATCACAAATAAGTTTCTGAGAATGCTGCTGTCTGCTTTTTATAATTAATCCCGTTTCCAACGAAATCCTCAAAGCTATCCAATTATCCTCTTGCAGATATTACAAAAAGAGTGTTTCAAAACTGCTCTATCAAAAGAAAGCTTCAACACTGTTAGTTGAGGGCGCACATCACAAATAAGTTTCTGAGAATGCTTCTGTCTAGTTTTCAGGGGAAGATATTTCCTTTTTCACCAAAGGCCTGAAAGCGCTCCAAATGTCCACATCCAGATACTACAAAAAGAGTGTTTCAAACCTGCTCTATGAAAGGGACTGTTCAACACTGTGACTTCAATTGAAACATCCCAATGAAGCTTCTGAGAATGCTTCTGTCTTGAGTTTATATGAAGAAAATCCCGTTTCCAATGAAATCCCCAAAGCTATCCAAATATCCTCTTGCAGATTTTACAAAAAGACTGCTTCAAAACTGCTCTATCAAAAGAAAGCTTCAACACTGTTAGCTGAGGGCGCACATCACAAATAAGATTCTGAAAATGCTTCTGTCTAGTTTTCAGGGGAAGATATTTCCTTTTTCACCATAGGCCTGAAAGCGCTCCAAATGTCCACATCCAGATACTACAAAAAGAGTGTTTCAAACCTGCTCTATGAAAGGGAATGTTCAACTCTGTGACTTGAATGCAAACATCACAAAGAAGTTTCTGGGAATGCTGCTGTCTGCTTTTTATATGTAATCCCGTTTCCAACGAAATCCTCAAAGCTAGACAAATATCCACTTGCAGATTCCACAAAAAGAGTGTTTCAAAACTGCTCTCAGAAAAGAAAGGTTCAACTCTGTTAGCTGAGTAGATACATCATGAAAATGTTTCTGACATTGCTTCTATGTAGCTTTTATTGGAAGATATTTCCTTTTTCACCATAGTCCTGAGATCTCTCCAAATGTCCACTTCCAGATACTACAAAAAGAGTGTTTCAAACCTGTTCTATGAAAGGAACTGTTCAACACTGTGACTTCAATTGAAACATCCCAATGAAGCTTCTGAGAATGCTTCTTTCTAGAGTTTATATGAAGACAATCCCGTTTCCAACGAAATCCTCAAAGCTATCCAAATATTCTCTTGCAGATATTACAAAAAGAGTGTTTCAAAACTGCTCTATCAAAATAAAGCTTCAACACTGTTAGTTGAGGGCGCACATCACAAATAAGTTTCTGAGAATGCTGCTGTCTGCTTTTTATATGTAATCCCGTTTCCAACGAAATCCTCAAAGCTATCCAAATATCCTCTTGCAGATATTACAAAAAGAGTGTTTCAAAACTGCTCTATCAAAAGAAAGGTTCAACACTGTTAGTTGAGGGCGCACATCACAAATAAGTTTCTGAGAATGCTTCTATCTAGCTTTTGTTGGAAGATATTTCCTTTATCCCCGTATTCCTGAGATCTCTCCAAATGTCCACTTCCAGATACTACAAAAAGAGTGTTTCAAACCTGCTCTATGAAAGGGACTGTTCAACACTGTGACTTCAATTGAAACATCCCAATGAAGATTCTGAGAATGCTTCTGTCTAGAGTTTATATGAAGACAATCCCGTTTCCAACGAAATCCTCAAAGATATCCAAATATCCTCTTGCAGATATTACAAAAAGAGTGTTTCAAAACTGCTCTATCAAAAGAAAGCTTCAACACTGTTAGTTGAGGGCGCACATCACAAATTAGTTTCTGAGAATGCTTCTGTCTAGTTTTCAGGGGAAGATATTTCCTTTTTCACCTTAGGCCTGAAAGCGCTGCAAATGTACACATCCAGATACTACAAAAAGAGTGTTTCAAACCTGCTCTATGAAAGGGAATGTTCAACTCTCTGACTTGAATGCAAACATCACAAAGAAGTTTCTGGGAATGCTGCTGTCTGCTTTTTATATGTAATCCCGTTTCCAACGAAATCCTCAAAGCTAGACAAATATCCACTTGCAGATTCCACAAAAAGAGTGTTTCAAAACTGCTCTCTCAAAGGAAGGTTCAACTCTGTTAGCTGAGTAGATACATCATGAAAAAGTTTCTGACATTGCTTCTATCTAGCTTTTATTGGAAGATATTTCCTTTATCACCGTATTCCTGAGATCTCTCAAAATGTCCACTTCCAGATACTACAAAAAGAGTGTTTCAAACCTGCTCTATGAAAGGGACTGTTCAACACTGTGACTTCAATTGAAACATCCCAATGAAGCTTCTGAGAATGCTTCTGTCTAGAGTTTATATGAAGACAATCCCGTTTCCAACGAAATCCTGAAAGCTATCCAAATATCCTCTTGCAGATTTTACAAAAAGAGTGTTCCAAAACTGCTCTATCAAAAGAAAGGTTCAACACTGTTAGTTGAGGGCGCACATCACAAATAAGTTTCTGAGAATGCTGCTGTCTGCTTTTTATAATTAATCCCGTTTCCAACGAAATCCTCAAAGCTATCCAAATATCCTCTTGCAGATATTACAAAAAGAGTGTTTCAAAACTGCTCTATCAAAAGAAAGCTTCAACACAGTTAGTTTAGGGCGCACATCACAAATAAGTTTCTGAGAATGCTTCTGTCTAGTTTTCAGGGGAAGATATTTCCTTTTAAACCAGAGGCCTGAAAGCGCTCCAAATGTCCACATCCAGATACTACAAAAAGAGTGTTTGAAACCTGCTTTATGAAAGGGACTGTTCAACACTGTGACTTCAATTGAAACATCCCAATGAAGCTTCTGAGAATGCTTCTGTCTAGAGTTTATATGAAGACAATCCCGTTTCCAACGAAATCCTCAAAGCTATCCAAATATCCTCTTGCAGATTTTACAAAAAGAGTGTTTCAAAACTGCTCTATCAAAAGAAAGCTTCAACTCTGTTAGTTGAGGGCGCACATCACAAATAAGATTCTGAGAATGCTTCTGTCTAGTTTTCAGGGGAAGATATTTCCTTTTTCACCATAGGCCTGAAAGCGCTGCAAATGTCCACATCCAGATACTACAAAAAGAGTGTTTCAAACCTGCTCTATGAAAGGGAATGTTCAACTCTGTGACTTGAATGCAAACATCACAAAGAAGATTCTGGGAATGCTGCTGTCTGGTTTTTATATGTAATCCCGTTTCCAACGCAATCCTCAAAGCTAGACAAATATCCACTTGCAGATTCCACAAAAAGAGTGTTTCAAAACTGCTCTCTCAAAAGAAAGGTTCAACTCTGTTAGCTGAGTAGATACATCATGAAAAAGTTTCTGACATTGCTTCTATCTAGCTTTTATTGGAAGATATTTCCTTTATCACCGTATTCCTGAGATCTCTCCAAATGTCCACTTCCAGATACTACAAAAAGAGTGTTTCAAACCTGCTCTATGAAAGGGACTGTTCAACACTGTGACTTCAATTGAAACATCCCAATGAAGCTTCTGAGAATGCTGCTGTCTGCTTTGTATAATTAATCCCGTTTCCAACGAAATCCTCAAAGCTATCCAAATATCCTCTTGCAGATATTACAAAAAGAGTGTTTCAAAACTGCTCTATCAAAAGAAAGCTTCAACACTGTTAGTTGAGGGCGCACATCACAAATAAGTTTCTGAGAATGCTGCTGTCTGCTTTTTATATGTAATCCCGTTTCCAACGAAATCCTCAAAGCTAGACAAATATCCACTTGCAGATTCCACAAAAAGAGTGTTTCAAAACTGCTCTATCAAAAGAATGCTTCAACACTGTTAGTTGAGGGCGCACATCACAAATAAGTTTCTGAGAATGCTTCGGTCTAGTTTTCAGGGGAAGATATTTCCTTTTAAACCATAGGCCTGAAAGCGCTCCAAATGTCCACATCCAGATACTACAAAAAGAGTGTTTCAAACCTGCTCTATGAAAGGGACTGTTCAACAGTGTGACTTCAATTGAAACATCCCAATGACGCTTCTGAGAATGCTTCTGTCTAGAGTTTATATGAAGACAATCCCGTTTCCAAAGAAATCCTCAAAGCTATCCAAATATCCTCTTGCAGATATTACAAAAAGAGTGTTTCTAAACTGCTCTATCAAAAGAAAGGTTCAACACTGTTAGTTGAGGGCGCACATCACAAATAAGTTTCTGAGAATGCTTCTGTCTAGTTTTCAGGGGAAGATATTTCCTTTTTCACCTTATGCCTGAAAGCGCTGCAAATGTCCACATCCAGATACTACAAAAAGAGTGTTTCAAACCTGCTCTATGAAAGGGAATGTTCAACTCTGTGACTTGAATGCAAACATCACAAAGAAGTTTCTGCGAATGCTGCTGTCTGCTTTTTATATGTAATCCCGTTTCCAACGAAATCCTCAAAGCTAGGCAAATATCCCCTTGCAGATTCCACAAAAAGAGTGTTTCAAAACTGCTCTCTCAAAGGAAGGTTCAACTCTGTTAGCTGAGTAGATACATCATGAAAAAGTTTCTGACATTGCTTCTATCTAGCTTTTATTGGAAGATAGTTCCTTTTTCACCGCAGTCCTGAGAGCGCTCGAAATGTCCACTTCCAGATACTACAAAAAGAGTGTTTCAAACCTGCTCTATGAAAGGGACTGTTCAACACTGTGACTTCAATTGAAACATCCCAATGAAGCTTCTGAGAATGCTTCTGTCTAGATTCTATATGAAGACAATCCCGTTTCCAACGAAATCCTCAAAGCTATCCAAATATCCTCTTGCAGATTTTACAAAAAGAGTGTTTCAAAACTGCTCTATCAAAAGAAAAGTTCCACACTGTTAGTTGAGGGCGCACATCACAAATAAGTTTGCTGAGAATGCTGCTGTCTGCTTTTTATATGTAATCCCGTTTCCAACGAAATCCTCAAAGCTAGACAAATATCCACTTGCAGATTCCACAAAAAGAGTGTTTCAAAACTGCTCTATCAAAAGAAAGCTTCAACACTGTTAGTTGAGGGCGCACATCACAAATAAGTTTCTGAGAATGCTTCTGTCTAGTTTTCAGGGGAAGATATTTCCTTTTAAACCATAGGCCTGAAAGCGCTCCAAATGTCCACATCCAGATACTACAAAAAGAGTGTTTCAAACCTGCTCTATGAAAGGGACTGTTCAACACTGTGACTTCAATTGAAATATCCCAATGACGCTTCTGAGAATGCTTCTGTCTAGAGTTTATATGAAGACAATCCCGTTTCCAACGAAATCCTCAAAGCTATCCAAATATCCTCTTGCAGATTTTACAAAAAGAGTGTTTCAAAACTGCTCTATCAAAAGAAAGCTTCAACACTGTTAGTTGAGGGCGCACATCACAAATAAGATTCTGAGAATGCTTCTGTCTAGTTTTCAGGGGAAGATATTTCCTTTTTCACCATAGGGCTGAAAGCGCTCCAAATGTCCACATCCAGATACTACAAAAAGAGTGCTTCAAACCTGCTCTATGAAAGGGAATGTTCAACTCTGTGACTTGAATGCAAACATCACAAAGAAGTTTCTGGGAATGCTGCTGTCTGCTTTTTATATGTAATCCCGTTTCCAACGAAATCCTCAAAGCTAGACAAATATCCACCTGCAGATTCCACAAAAAGAGTGTTTCAAAACTGCTCTCTCAAAAGAAAGGTTCAATTCTGTTAGCTGAGTAGATACCTCATGAAAAATTTTCTGACATTGCTTCTGTCTAGCTTTTATTGGAAGATATTTCCTTTTTCACCGTATTCCTGAGAACTCTCCAAATGTCCACTTCCAGATACTACAAAAAGAGCGTTTCAAACCTGCTCTATGAAAGGGACTGTTCAACACTGTGACTTCAATTGAAACATCCCAATGAAGCTTCTGAGAATGCTTCTGTCTAGAGTTTATATGAAGACAATCCCGTTTTCAACGAAATCCTCAAACCTATCCAAATATCCTCTTGCAGATTTTACAAAAAGAGTGTTTCAAAACTGCTCTATCAAAAGAAAGCTTCAACACTGTTAGTTGAGGGCGCACATCACAAATAAGATTCTGAGAATGCTTCTGTCTAGTTTTCAGGGGAAGATATTTCCTTTTTCACCATAGGCCTGAAAGCGCTCCAAATGTCCCCATCCAGATACTACAAAAAGAGTGTTTCAAACCTGCTCTATGAAAGGGAGTGTTCAACTCTGTGACTTGAATGCAAACATCACAAAGAAGTTACTGGGAATGCTGCTGTCTGCTTTTTATATGTAATCCCGTTTCCAACGAAATCCTCAAAGCTAGACAAATATCCTCTTGCAGATTCCACAAAAAGAGTGTTTCAAAACTGCTCTATCAAAAGAAAGCTTCAACACTGTTAGTTGAGGGCGCACATCACAAATAAGTTTCTGAGAATGCTTCTGTCTAGTTTTCAGGGGAAGATATTTCCTTTTTCACCATAGGCCTGAAAGCGCTCCAAATGTCCACATCCAGATACTACAAAAAGAGTGTTTCAAACCTGCTCTATGAAAGGGACTGTTCAACACTGTGACTTCAATTGAAACATCCCAATGAAGCATCTGAGAATGCTTCTGTCTAGAGTTTATATGAAGACAATCCCGTTTCCAACGAAATCCTCAAAGCTATCCAAATATCCTCTTGCAGATTTTACGAAAAGAGTGTTTCAAAACTGCTCTATCAAAAGAAAGTTTCAACACTGTTAGTTGAGGGCGCACATCACAAATAAGATTCTGAGAATGCTTCTGTCTAGTTTTCAGGGGAAGATATTTCCTTTTTCACCTTAGGCCTGAAAGCGCTGCAAATGTCCACATACAGATACTACAAAAAGAGTGTTTCAAACCTGCTCTATGAAAGGGAATGTTCAACTCTGTGACTTGAATGCAAACATCACAAAGAAGTTTCTGGGAATGCTGCTGTCTGCTTTTTATATGTAATCCCGTTTCCAGTGAAATCTTCAAAGCTAGACAAATATCCACTTGCAGATTCCACAAAAAGAGTGTTTCAAAACTGCTCTCTCAAAGGAAGGTTCAACTCTGTAAGCTGAGTAGATACATCATGAAAAAGTTTCTGACATTGCTTCTATGTAGCTTTTATTGGAAGATATTTCCATTTTCACCGTAGTCCTGAGGAGCGCTCCAAATGTCCACTTCCAGATACTACAAAAAGAGTGTTTCAAACCTGTTCTATGAAAGGAACTGTTCAACACTGTGACTTCAATTGAAACATCCCAATGAAGCTTCAGAGAATGCTGCTGTCTGCTTTGTATAATTAATCCCGTTTCCAACGAAATCCTCAAAGCTATCCAAATATCCTCTTGCAGATATTACAAAAAGAGTGTTTCAAAACTGCTCTATCAAAAGAAAGCTTCAACACTGTTAGTTGAGGGCGCACATCACAAATAAGTTTCTGAGAATGCTGCTGTCTGCTTTTTATATGTAATCCCGTTTCCAACGAAATCCTCAAAGCTAGACAAATATCCACTTTCAGATTCCACAAAAAGAGTGTTTCAAAACTGCTCTATCAAAAGAAAGCTTCAACACTGTTAGTTGAGGGCGCACATCACAAATAAGATTCTGAGAATGCTTCTGTCTAGTTTTCAGGGGAAGATATTTCCTTTTAAACCATAGGCCTGAAAGCGCTCCAAATGTCCACATCCAGATACTACAAAAAGAGTGTTTCAAACCTGCTCTATGAAAGAGACTGTTCAACACTGTAACTTCAATTGAAACATCCCAATGAAGCTTCTGAGAATGCTTCTGTCTAGAGTTTATATGAAGACAATCCCGTTTCCAACGAAATCCTCAAAGCTATCCAAATATCCTCTTGCAGATTTTACAAAAAGAGTGTTTCAAAACTGCTCTATCAAAAGAAAGCTTCAACACTGTTAGTTGAGGGCGCACATCACAAATAAGATTCTGAGAATGCTTCTGTCTAGTTTTCAGGGGAAGAGATTTCCTTTTTCACCATAGGCCTCAAAGCGCTCAAAATGTCCACATCCAGATACTACAAAAAGAGTGTTTCAAACCTGCTCTATGAAAGGGAATGTTCAACTCTGTGACTTGAATGCAAACATCACAAAGAAGTTACTGGGAATTCTGCTGTCTGATTTTTATATGTAATCCCGTTTCCAACGAAATCCTCAAAGCTAGACAAATATCCACTTGCAGATTCCACAAAAAGAGTGTTTCAAAACTGCTCTCTCAAAGGAAAGGTTCAACTCTGTTAGCTGAGTAGATACATCATGAAAAAGTTTCTGACATTGCTTCTATGTAGCTTTTATTGGAAGATATTTCCATTTTCACCGTAGTCCTGAGAGCGCTCCAAATGTCCACTTCCAGATACTACAAAAAGAGTGTTTCAAACCTGTTCTATGAAAGGAACTGTTCAACACTGTGACTTCAATTGAAACATCCCAATGAAGCTTCTGAGAATGCTTCTGCCTAGAGTTTATATGAAGACAATCCCGTTTCCAACGAAATCCTCAAAGCTATCCAAATATCCTCTTGCAGATATTACAAAAAGAGTGTTTCAAAACTGCTCTATCAAAAGAAAGCTTCAACACTGTTAGTTGAGGGCGCACATCACAAATAAGTTTCTGAGAATGCTTCTGTCTAGTTTTCAGGGGAAGATATTTCCTTTTTCACCATAGGCCTGAAAGCGCTCCAAATGTCCACATCCAGATACTACAAAAAGAGTGTTTCAAACCTGCTGTATGAAAGGGAATGTTCAACTCTGTGACTTGAATGCAAACATCACAAAGAAGTTTCTGGGAATGCTGCTGTCTGCTTTTTATATGTAATCCCGTTTCCAACGAAATCCTCAAAGCTAGACAAATATCCACTTGCATATTCCACCAAAAGAGTGTTTCAAAACTGCTGTCTCAAAAGAAAGGTTCAACTCTGTTAGCTGAGTAGATAGATCATGAAAAAGTTTCTGACATTGCTTCTATCTAGCTTTTATTGGAAGATATTACCTTTATCACCGTATTCCTGAGATCTCTCCAAATGTCCACTTCCAGATACTACAAAAAGAGTGTTTCAAACCTGCTCTATGAAAGGGACTGTTCAACACTGTGACTTCAATTGAAACATCCCAATGAAGCTTCTGAGAATGCTTCTGTCTAGTTTTCAGGAGAAGATATTTCCTTTTTCACCATAGGCCTGAAAGCGCTCCAAATGTCCACATCCAGAGACTACAAAAAGAGTGTTTCAAACCTGCTCTCTGAAAGGGAATGTTCAACTCTGTGACTTGAATGCAAACATCACAAACAAGATTCTGGGAATGCTGCTGTCTGCTTTTTATATGTAATCCCGTTTCCAACGAAATCCTCAAAGCTAGACAAATATCCACTTGCAGATTCCACAAAAAGAGTGTTTCAAAACTGCTCTATCAAAAGAAAGCTTCAACACTGTTAGTTGAGGGCGCACATCACAAATAAGTTTCTGAGAATGCTTCTGTCTAGTTTTCAGGGGAAGATATTTCCTTTTAAACCATAGGCCTGAAAGCGCTCCAAATGTCCACATCCAGATACTACAAAAAGAGTGTTTCAAACCTGCTCTATGAAAGGGAGTGTTCAACACTGTGACTTCAATTGAAACATCCCAATGAAGCTTCTGAGAATGCTTCTGTCTAGAGTTTATATGAAGACAATCCCGTTT
Organism: Homo sapiens; assembly: GCF_000001405.40. Classification (NCBI taxonomy): domain Eukaryota; kingdom Metazoa; phylum Chordata; class Mammalia; order Primates; family Hominidae; genus Homo; species Homo sapiens. The sequence goes on along the minus strand of NC_000002.12, from coordinate 93,076,764 downwards.
CCAACGAAATCCTCAAAGCTATCCAAATATCCTCTTGCAGATTTTACAAAAAGAGTGTTTCAAAACTGCTCTATCAAAAGAAAGCTTCAACACTGTTTGTTGAGGGCGCACATCACAAATAAGATTCTAAGAATTCTTCTGTCTAGTTTTCAGGGGAAGATATTTCCTTTTTCAACATAGGCCTGAAAGCGCTCCAAATGTCCACATACAGATACTACAAAAAGAGTGTTTCAAACCTGCTCTATGAAAGGGAATGTTCAACTCTGTGACTTGAATGCAAACATCACAAAGAAGTTTCTGGGAATGCTGCTGTCTGCTTTTTATATGTAATCCCGTTTCCAACGAAATCCTCAAAGCTAGACAAATATCCACTTGCAGATTCCACAAAAAGAGTGTTTCAAAACTGCTCTCTCAAAAGAAAGGTTCAATTCTGTTAGCTGAGTAGATACATCATGAACAATTTTCTGACATTGCTTCTATGTAGCTTTTATTGGAAGATATTTCCTTTTTCACCGTAGTCCTGAGAGCGCTCCAAATGTCCACTTCCAGATACTACAAAAAGAGTGTTTCAAACCTGCTCTATGAAAGGGACTGTTCAACACTGTGACTTCAATTGAAACATCCCAATGAAGCTTCTGAGAATGCTTCTGCCTAGAGTTTATATGAAGACAATCCCGTTTCCAACGAAATCCTCAAAGCTATCCAAATATCCTCTTGCAGATATTACAAAAAGAGTGTTTCAAAACTGCTCTATCAAAAGAAAGCTTCAACACTGTTAGTTGAGGGCGCACATCACAAATAAGTTTCTGAGAATGCTTCTGTCTAGTTTTCAGGGGAAGATATTTCCTTTTTCACCATAGGCCTGAAAGCGCTCCAAATGTCCACATCCAGATACTACAAAAAGAGTGTTTCAAACCTGCTCTCTGAAAGGGAATGTTCAACTCTGTGACTTGAATGCAAACATCACAAAGAAGTTTCTGGGAATGCTGCTGTCTGCTTTTTATATGTAATCCCGTTTCCAACGAAATCCTCAAAGCTAGACAAATATCCACTTGCAGATTCCACAAAACGAGTGTTTCAAAACTGCTCTCTCAAAGGAAGGTTCAACTCTGTTAGCTGAGTAGATACATCATGAAAAAGTTTCTGACATTGCTTCTATCTAACTTTTATTGGAAGATATTTCCTTTTTCACCGCAGTCCTGAGAGCGCTCCAAATGTCCACTTCCAGATACTACAAAAAGAGTGTTTCAAACCTGCTCTATGAAAGGGACTGTTCAACACTGTGACTTCAATTGAAACATCCCAATGAAGCTTCTGAGAATGCTTCTTTCTAGAGTTTATATGAAGACAATCCCGTTTCCAACGAAATCCTCAAAGCTATCCAAATATTCTCTTGCAGATATTACAAAAAGAGTGTTTCAAAACTGCTCTATCAAAATAAAGCTTCAACACTGTTAGTTGAGGGCGCACATCACAAATAAGTTTCTGAGAATGCTGCTGTCTGCTTTTTATATGTAATCCCGTTTCCAACGAAATCCTCAAAGCTAGACAAATATCCACTTGCAGATTCCACAAAAAGAGTGTTTCAAAACTGCTCTATCAAAAGAAAGCTTCAACACTGTTAGTTGAGGGCGCACATCACAAATAAGTTTCTGAGAATGCTTCTGTCTAGTTTTCAGGGGAAGATATTTCCTTTTAAACCATAGGCCTGAAAGCGCTCCAAATGTCCACATCCAGATACTACAAAAAGAGTGTTTCAAACCTGCTCTATGAAAGGGACTGTTCAACACTGTGACTTCAATTGAAACATCCCAATGACGCTTCTGAGAATGCTTCTGTCTAGAGTTTATATGAAGACAATCCCGTTTCCAACGAAATCCTCAAAGCTATCCAAACATCCTCTTGCAGATATTACAAAAAGAGTGTTTCAAAACTGCTCTATCAAAAGAAAGCTTCAACACTGTTAGTTGAGGGCGCACATCACAAATAAGTTTCTGAGAATGCTTCTGTCTAGTTTTCAGGGGAAGATATTTCCTTTTTCACCATAGGCCTGAAAGCGCTCCAAATGTCCACATCCAGATACTACAAAAAGAGTGTTTCAAACCTGCTCTACGAAAGGGAATGTTCAACTCTGTGACTTGAAAGCAAACATCACAAAGAAGTTTCTGGGAATGCTGCTGTCTGCTTTTTATATGTAATCCCGTTTCCAACGAAATCCTCAAAGCTAGACAAATATCCACTTGCAGATTCCACAAAAAGAGTGTTTCAAAACTGCTCTCTCAAAAGAAAGGTTCAATTCTGTTAGCTGAGTAGATACCTCATGAAAAATTTTCTGACATTGCTTCTACCTAGCTTTATTTGGAAGATATTTCCTTTTTCACCGTAGTCCTGAAAACGCTCCAAATGTCAACTTCCAGATACTACAAAAAGAGTGTTTCAAACATACTCTATGAAAGGGACTGTTCAACACAGTGACTTCAATTGAAACATCCCAATGAAGCTTCTGAGAATGCTTATGTCTAGAGTTTATATGAAGACAATCCCGTTTCCAACGAAATCCTGAAAGCTATCCAAATATCCTCTTGCAGATATTACAAAAAGAGTGTTTCAAAACTGCTCTATCAAAAGAAAGCTTCAACACTGTTAGTTGAGGGCGCCCATCACAAATAAGTTTCGGAGAATGCTTAGCTGTCTGCTTTTTATATGTAATCCCGTTTCCAACGAAATCCTCAAAGCTAGACAAATATCCACTTGCAGATTCCACAAAAAGAGTGTTTCAAAACTGCTCTATCAAAAGAATGCTTCAACACTGTTAGTTGAGGGCGCACATCACAAATAAGTTTCTGAGAATGCTTCTGTCTAGTTTTCAGGGGAAGATATTTCCTTTTTCACCATAGGCCTGAAAGCGTTCCAAATGTCCACATCCAGATACTACAAAAAGAGTGTTTCAAACCTGCTCTATGAAAGGGACTGTTCAACACTGTGACTTCAATTGAAACGTCCCAATGAAGCATCTGAGAATGCTTCTGTGTAGAGTTTATATGAAGACAATCCCGTTTCCAACGAAATCCTCAAAGCTATCCAAATATCCTCTTGCAGATTTTACAAAAAGAGTGTTTCAAAACTGCTCTATCAAAAGAAAGCTTCAACACTGTTAGTTGAGGGCGCACATCACAAATAAGATTCTGAGAATTCTTCTGTCTAGTTTTCAGGGGAAGATATTTCCTTTTTCACCATAGGCCTGAAAGCGCTCCAAATGTCCACATCCAGATACTACAAAAAGAGTGTTTCAAACCTGCTCTCTGAAAGGGAATGTTCAACTCTGTGACTTGAATGCAAACATCACAAAGAAGTTTCTGGGAATGCTGCTGTCTGCTTTTTATATGTAATCCCGTTTCCAACGAAATCCTCAAAGCTAGACAAATATCCACTTGCAGATTCCACAAAAAGAGTGTTTCAAAACTGCTCTCTCAAAAGAAAGGTTCAACTCTGTTAGCTGAGTAGATACATCATGAAAATGTTTCTGACATTGCTTCTATGTAGCTTTTATTGGAAGATATTTCCTTTTTCACCGTAGTCCTGAGAGCGCTCCAAATGTCCACTTCCAGATACTACAAAAAGAGTGTTTCAAACCTGTTCTATGAAAGGAACTGTTCAACACTGTGACTTCAATTGAAACATCCCAATGAAGCTTCTGAGAATGCTGCTGTCTGCTTTGTATAATTAATCCCGTTTCCAACGAAATCCTCAAAGCTATCCAAATATCCTCTTGCAGATATTACAAAAAGAGTGTTTCAAAACTGCTCTATCAAAAGAAAGCTTCAACACTGTTAGTTGAGGGCGCACATCACAAATAAGTTTCTGAGAATGCTGCTGTCTGCTTTTTATATGTAATCCCGTTTCCAACGAAATCCTCAAAGCTAGACAAATATCCACTTGCAGATAAAAAGATTGTTTCAAAACTGCTCTGTCAAAAGAAAGCTTCAACACTGTTAGTTGAGGGCGCACATCACAAATAAGTTTCTGAGAATGCTTCTGTCTAGTTTTCAGGAGAAGATATTTCCTTTTTCACCGTATTCCTGAGATCTCTCCAAATGTCCACTTCCAGATACTACAAAAAGAGTGTTTCAAACCTGCTCTATGAAAGGGACTGTTCAACACTGTGACTTCAATTGAAACATCCCAATGAAGCTTCTGAGAATGCTACTGTCTAGGGTTAATATGAAGACAATCCCGTTTCCAACGAAATCCTCCAAGCTATCCAAATATCCTCTTGCAGATTTTACAAAAAGAGTGTTTCAAAACTGCTCTATCAAAAGAAAGCTTCAACACTGTTAGTTGAGGGCGCACATCACAAATAAGTTTCTGAGAATGCTTCTGTCTAGTTTTCAGGGGAAGATATTTCCTTTTTCACCATAGGCCTGAAAGCGCTCCAAATGTCCACATCCAGATACTACAAAAAGAGTGTTTCAAACCTGCTCTATGAAAGGAAATGTTCAAGTCTGTGACTTGAATGCAAATTTCACAAAGAACTTTCTGGTAATGCTGCTGTCTGCTTTTTATATGTAATCCCATTTCCAACGAAATCCTCAAAGCTAGACAAATATCCACTTGCAGATTCCACAAAAAGAGTGTTTCAAAACTGCTCTCTCAAAAGAAAAGTTCAACTCTGTTAGCTGAGTAGATACATCATGAAAAAGTTTCTGACATTGCTTCTATCTAGCTTTTATTGGAAGATATTTCCTTTTTCACCGCAGTCCTGAGAGCGCTCCAAATGTCCACTTCCAGATACTACAAAAAGAGTGTTTCAAACCTGCTCTATGAAAGGGACTGTTCAACACTGTGACTTCAACTGAAACATCCCAATGAAGCTTCTGAGAATGCTTCTGTCTGGAGTTTATATGAAGACAATCCCGTTTCCAACGAAATCCTCAAAGCTATCCAAATATCCTCTTGCAGATTTTACAAAAAGAGTGTTTCAAAACTGCTCTATCAAAAGAAAGGTTCAACACTGTTAGTTGAGGGCGCACATCACAAATAAGATTCTGAGAATGCTTCTGTCTAGTTTTCAGGGGAAGATATTTCCTTTTTCACCTTATGCCTGAAAGCGCTGCAAATGTCCACATCCAGATACTACAAAAAGAGTGTTTCAAACCTGCTCTATGAAAGGGAATGTTCAACTCTGTGACTTGAATGCAAATATCACAAAGAAGTTTCTGGGAATGCTGCTGTCTGCTTTTTATATGTAATCCCGTTTCCAACGAAATCCTGAAAGCTAGAAAAATATCCACCTGCAGATTCCACAAAAAGAGTGTTTCAAAACTGCTCTCTCAAAAAAAATGTTCAACTCTGTTAGCTGAGTAGATACATCATGAAAAAGTTTCTGATATTGCTTCTATCTAGCTTTTATTGGAAGATATTTCCTTTTTCACCGCAGTACTGAGAGCGCTCCAAATGTCCACTTCCAGATACTACAAAAAGAGTGTTTCAAACCTGCTCTATGAAAGGGACTGTTCAACACTGTGACTTCAATTGAAACATCCCAATGAAGCTTCTGAGAATGCTTCTGTCTAGAGTTTATATGAAGACAATCCCGTTTCCAACGAAATCCTCAAAGCTATCCAAATATCCTCTTGCAGATATTACAAAAAGAGTGTTTCAAAACTGCTCTATCAAAAGAAAGGTTCAACACTGTTAGTTGAGGGCGCACATCACAAATAAGTTTACTGAGAATGCTGCTGTCTGCTTTTTATATGTAATCCCGTTTCCAACGAAATCCTCAAAGCTAGACAAATATCCACTTGCAGATTCCACAAAAAGAGTGTTTCAAAACTGCTCTATCAAAAGAAAGCTTCAACACTGTTAGTTGAGGGCGCACATCACAAATAAGTTTCTGAGAATGCTTCTGTCTAGTTTTCAGGGGAAGATATTTCCTTTTTCACCATAGGCCTGAAAGCGCTCCAAATGTCCACATCCAGATACTACAAAAAGAGTGTTTCAAACCTGCTCTATGAAAGGGACTGTTCAACACTGTGACTTCAATTGAAACATCCCAATGAAGCTTCTGAGAATGCTACTGTCTAGAGTTTATATGAAGACAATCCCGTTTCCAACGAAATCCTCAAAGCTATCCAAATATCCTCTTGCAGATTTTACAAAAAGAGTGTTTCAAAACTGCTCTATCAAAAGAAAGGTTCAACACTGTTAGTTGAGGGCGCACATCACAAATAAGATACTGAGAATGCTTCTGTCTATTTTTCAGGAGAAGATATTTCCTTTTTCACCATAGGCCTGAAAGCGCTCCAAATGTCCACATCCAGATACTATAAAAAGAGTGTTTCAAACCTGCTCTATGAAAGGGAATGTTCAACTCTGTGACTTGAATGCAAACATCACAAAGAAGATTCTGGGAGTGCTGCTGTCTGCTTTTTATATGTAATCCCGTTTCCAACGAAATCCTCAAAGCTAGACAAATATCCACTTACAGATTCCACAAAAAGAGTGTTTCAAAACTGCTCTATCAAAAGAATGCTTCAACACTGTTAGTTGAGGGCGCACATCAGAAATAAGTTTCTGAGAATGCTTCTCTCTAGTTTTCAGGGGAAGATATTTCCTTTTTCACCATAGGCCTGAAAGCGCTCCAAATGTCCACATCCAGATACTACAAAAAGAGTGTTTCAAACCTGCTCTATGAAAGGGACTGTTCAACACTGTGACTTCAATTGAAACATCCCAATGAAGCTTCTGAGAATGCTTCTGTCTAGAGTTTATATGAAGACAATCCCGTTTCCAACGAAATCCTCAAAGCTATCCAAATATCCTCTTGCAGATATTACAAAAAGAGTGTTTCAAAACTGCTCTATCAAAAGAAAGCTTCAACACTGTTAGTTGAGGGCGCACATCACAAATAAGTTTCTGAGAATGCTTCTGTCTAGTTTTCAGGGGAAGATATTTCCTTTTTCACCCTAGGCCTGAAAGCGCTCCAAATGTCCACATCCAGATACTACAAAAAGAGTGTTTCAAACCTGCTCTATGAAAGGGAGTGTTCAACTCTGTGACTTGAATGCAAACATCACAAAGAAGTTACTGGGAATGCTGCTGTCTGCTTTTTATATGTAACCCGTTTCCAACGAAATCCTCAAAGCTAGACAAATATCCACTTGCAGATTCCACAAAAAGAGTGTTTCAAAACTGCTCTCTCAAAGGAAGGTTCAACTCTGTTAGCTGAGTAGATACATCATGAAAAAGTTTCTGACATTGCTTTTATCTAGCTTTTATTGGAAGACATTTCCTTTATCACCGTATTCCTGAGATCTCTCCAAATGTCCACTTCCAGATACTACAAAAAGAGTGTTTCAAACCTGCTCTATGAAAGGGACTGTTCAACACTGTGACTTCAATTGAAACATCCCAATGAAGCTTCTGAGAATGCTTCTGTCTAGAGTTTATATGAAGACAATCCCGTTTCCAACGAAATCCTCAAAGCTATCCAAATATCCTCTTGCAGATTTTACAAAAAGAGTGTTTCAAAACTGCTCTATCAAAAGAAAGTTTCAACACTGTTAGTTGAGGGCGCACATCACAAATAAGATTCTGAGAATGCTTCTGTCTAGTTTTCAGGGGAAGATATTTCCTTTTTCACCATAGGCCTGAAAGCGCTCCAAATGTCCACATACAGATACTACAAAAAGAGTGTTTCAAACCTGCTCTATGAAAGGGAATGTTCAACTCTGTGACTTGAATGCAAACATCACAAAGAAGTTTCTGGGAATGCTGCTGTCTGCTTTTTATATGTAATCCCGTTTCCAACGAAATCCTCAAAGCTAGACAAATATCCACTTGCAGATTCCACAAAAAGAGTGTTTCAAAACTGCTCTCTCAAAGGAAGGTTCAACTCTGTTAGCTGAGTAGATACATCATGAAAAAGTTTCTGACATTGCTTCTATCTAGCTTTTATTGGAAGATATTTCCTTTTTCACTGTAGTGCTGAGAACGCTCCAAATGTCCACTTCCAGATACTACAAAAAGAGTGTTTCAAATCTGCTCTATGAAAGGGACTGTTCAACACTGTGACTTCAATTGAAACATCCCAATGAAGCTTCTGAGAATGATGCTGTCTGCTTTGTATAATTAATCCCGTTTCCAACGAAATCCTCAAAGCTATCCAAATATCCTCTTGCAGATATTACAAAAAGAGTGTTTCAAAACTGCTCTATCAAAAGAAAGCTTCAACACTGTTAGTTGAGGGCGCACATCACAAATAAGTTTCTGAGAATGCTGCTGTCTGCTTTTTATATGTAATCCCGTTTCCAACGAAATCCTCAAAGCTAGACAAATATCCACTTGCACATTCCACAAAAAGAGTGTTTCAAAACTGCTCTATCAAAAGAAAGCTTCAACACTGTTAGTTGAGGGGGTACATCACAAATAAGTTTCTGAGAATGCTTTCTGTCTAGTTTTCAGGGGAAGATATTTCCTTTTTCACCATAGGCCTGAAAGCGCTCCAAATGTCCACATCCAGATACTACAAAAAGAGTGTTTCAAACCTGCTCTATGAAAGGGACTGTTCAACACTGTGACTTCAATTGAAACATCCCAATGAAGCTTCTGAGAATGCTTCTGTCTAGATTTTATATGAAGACAATCCCGTTTCCAACGAAATCCTCAAAGCTATCCAAATATCCTCTTGCAGATTTTACAAAAAGAGTGTTTCAAAACTGCTCTATCAAAAGAAAAGTTCAACACTGTTAGTTGAGGGCGCACATCACAAATAAGTTTGTGAGAATGCTTCTGTCTAGTTTTCAGGGGAAGATATTTCCTTTTAAACCATAGGCCTGAAAGCGCTCCAAATGTCCACATCCAGATACTACAAAAAGAGTGTTTCAAACCTGCTCTCTGAAAGGGAATGTTCAACTCTGTGACTTGAATGCAAACATCACAAACAAGATTCTGGGAATGCTGCTGTCTGCTTTTTATATGTAATCCCGTTTCCAACGAAATCCTCAAAGCTAGACAAATATCCACTTGCAGATTCCACCAAAAGAGTGTTTCAAAACTGCTCTGTCAAAAGAAAGGTTCAACTCTGTTAGCTGAACAGATACATCATGAGAAATTTTCTGACATTGCTTCTATCTAGCTTTATTTGGAAGATATTTCCTTTTTCACCGTAGTCCTGAGAGCGCTCCAAATGTCCACTTCCAGATACTACAAAAAGATTGTTTCAAACATGCTCTATGAAAGGGACTGTTCAACACTGTGACTTCAATTGAAACATCCCAATGAAGCTTCTGAGAATGCTTCTGTCTAGATTTTATATGAAGACAATCCCGTTTCCAACGAAATCCTCAAAGCTATCCAAATATCCTCTTGCAGATTTTACAAAAAGAGTGTTTCAAAACTGCTCTATCAAAAGAAATGTTCAAACACTGTTAGTTGAGGGCGCACATCACAAATAAGTTTCTGAGAATGCTTCTATGTAGCTTTTATTGGAAGATATTTCCTTTTTCACCATAGGCCTGAAAGCGCTCCAAATGTCCACATCCAGATACTACAAAAAAAGTGTTTCAAACCTGCTCTATGAAAGGGAATGTTCAACTCTGTGACTTGAATGCAAACATCACAAAGAAGTTACTGGGAATGCTGCTGTCTGCTTTTTATATGTAATCCCGTTTCCAACGAAATCCCCAAAGCTAGACAAATATCCACTTGCAGATTCCACAAAAAGAGTGTTTCAAAACTGCTCTCTCAAAGGAAGGTCCAACTCTGTTAGCTGAGTAGATACATCATGAAAAAGTTTCTGACATTGCTTCTATCTAGCTTTTATTGGAAGATATTTCCTTTTTCACCGCAGTCCTGAGAGTGCTCCAAATGTCCACTTCCAGATAATACAAAAAGAGTGTTTCAAACCTGCTCTATGAAAGGGACTGTTCAACACTGTGACTTCAATTGAAACATCCCAATGAAGCTTCTGAGAATGCTTCTTTCTAGAGTTTATATGAAGACAATCCCGTTTCCAACGAAATCCTCAAAGCTATCCAAATATTCTCTTGCAGATATTACAAAAAGAGTGTTTCAAAACTGCTCTATCAAAATAAAGCTTCAACACTGTTAGTTGAGGGCGCACATCACAAATAAGTTTCTGAGAATGCTGCTGTCTGCTTTTTATATGTAATCCCGTTTCCAACGAAATCCTCAAAGCTAGACAAATATCCACTTGCAGATTCCACAAAAAGAGTTTTTCAAAACTGCCCTATCAAAAGAATGCTTCAACACTGTTAGTTGAGGGCGCACATCACAAATAAGTTTCTGAGAATGCTTCTGTCTAGTTTTCAGGGGAAGATATTTCCTTTTTCACCATAGGCCTGAAAGCGCTCCAAATGTCCACATCCAGATACTACAAAAAGAGTGTTTCAAACCTGCTCTATGAAAGGGACTGTTCAACACTGTGACTTCAATTGAAACATCCCAATGAAGCTTCTGAGAATGCTTCTGTCTAGAGTTTATATGAAGACAATCCCGTTTCCAACGAAATCCTCAAAGCTATCCAAATATCCTCTTGCAGATTTTACAAAAAGAGTGTTTCAAAACTGCTCTATCAAAAGAAAGCTTCAACACTGTTAGTTGAGAGCGCATATCACAAATAAGATTCTGAGAATGCTTCTGTCTAGTTTTCAGGGGAAGATATTTCCTTTTTCACCATAGGCCTGAAAGCGCTCCAAATGTCCACATCCAGATACTACAAAAAGAGTGTTTCAAACCTGCTCTATGAAAGGGAATGTTCAACTCTGTGACTTGAATGCAAACGTCACAAAGAAGTTACTGGGAATGCTGCTGTCTGCTTTTTATATGTAATCCCGTTTCCAACGAAATCCTCAAAGCTAGACAAATATCCACTTCCAGATTCCACAAAAAGAGTGTTTCAAAACTGCTCTCTCAAAAGAAAGGTTCAACTCTGTTAGCTGAGTAGATACATCATGAAAAAGTTTCTGACATTGCTTCTATCTAGCTTTTATTGGAAGATATTTCCTTTTTCACCATAGGCCTGAAAGCGCTCCAAATGTCCACATCCAGATACTACAAAAAGAGTGTTTCAAACCTGCTCTATGAAAGGGAATGTTCAACTCTGTGACTTGAATGCAAACATCACAAAGATGTTACTGGGAATGCTGCTGTCTGCTTTTTATATGTAATCCCGTTTCCAACGAAATCCTCAAAGCTAGACAAATATCCACTTGCAGATTCCACAAAAAGAGTGTTTCAAAACGGCTCTCTCAAAAGAAAGGTTCAACTCTGTTAGCTGAGTAGATACATCATGAAAAAGTTTCTGACATTGCTTCTATCTAGCTTTTATTGGAAGATATTTCCTTTTTCACCGTAGTCCTGAGAACGCTCCAAATGTCCACTTCCAGATACTACAAAAAGAGTGTTTCAAACCTGCTCTATGAAAGGGACTGTTCAACACTGTGACTTCAATTGAAACATCCCAATGAAGCTTCTGAGAATGCTTCTGTCTAGAAGTTTATATGAAGACAATCCCGTTTCCAACGAAATCCTCAAAGCTATCCAAATATCCTCTTGCAGATTTTACAAAAAGAGTGTTTCAAAACTGCTCTATCAAAAGAAAGGTTCAACACTGTTAGTTGAGGGCGCACATCACAAATAAGTTTCTGAGAATGCTTCTGTCTAGTTTTCAGGGGAAGATATTTCCTTTTTCACCATAGGCCTGAAATCGCTCCAAATGTCCACATCCAGATACTACAAAAAGAGTGTTTCAAACCTGCTCTATGAAAGGGAATGTTCAAGTCTGTGACTTGAATGCAAATATCACAAAGAAGTTTCTGGGAATGCTGCTGTCTGCTTTTTATATGTAATCCCGTTTCCAACGAAATCCTCAAAGCTAGACAAATATCCACTTCCAGATTCCACAAAAAGAGTGTTTCAAAACTGCTGTCTCAAAAGAAAGGTTCAACTGCTGTTAGCTGAGTAGATACATCATGAAAAAGTTTCTGACATTGCTTCTATCTAGCTTTTATTGGAAGATATTTCCTTTTTCACCGCAGTCCTGAGAGCGCTCCAAATGTCCACTTCCAGATACTACAAAAAGAGTGTTTCAAACCTGCTCTATGAAAGGGACTGTTCAACACTGTGACTTCAATTGAAACATCCCAATGAAGCTTCTGAGAATGCTTCTGTCTAGAGTTTATATGAAGACAATCCCGTTTCCAACGAAATCCTCAAATCTATCCAAATATCCTCTTGCAGATTTTACAAAAAGAGAGTTTCAAAACTGCTCTATCAAAAGAAAGCTTCAACACTGTTAGTTGAGGGCGCACATCACAAATAAGATTCTGAGAATGCTGCTGTCTGCTTTTTATATGTAATCCCGTTTCCAACGAAGTCCTCAAAGCTAGACAAATATCCACTTGCAGATTCCACAAAAAGAGTGTTTCAAAACTGCTCTATCAAAAGAAAGCTTCAACACTGTTAGTTGAGGGCGCACATCACAAATAAGTTTCTGAGAATGCTTCTGTCTAGTTTTCAGGGGAAGATATTTCCTTTTAAACCATAGGCCTGAAAGCGCTCCAAATGTCCACATCCAGATACTACAAAAAGAGTGTTTCAAACCTGCTCTATGAAAGGGACTGTTCAACACTGTGACTTCAATTGAAACATCCCAATGACGCTTCTGAGAATGCTTCTGTCTAGAGTTTATATGAAGACAATCCCGTTTCCAACGAAATCCTCAAAGCTATCCAAATATCCTCTTGCAGATTTTACAAAAAGAGTGTTTCAAAACTGCTCTATCAAAAGAAAGCTTCAAGACTGTTAGTTGAGGGCGCACATCACAATTAAGTTTCTGAGAATGCTTCTGTCTAGTTTTCAGGGGAAGATATTTCCTTTTTCACCATAGGCCTGAAAGCGCTCCAAATGTCCACATCCAGATACTACAAAAAGAGTGTTTCAAACCTGCTCTATGAAAGGGAATGTTCAACTCTGTGACTTGAATGCAAACATCACAAAGAAGATTACTGGGAATGCTGCTGTCTGCTTTTTATATGTAATCCCGTTTCCAACGAAATCCTCAAAGCTAGACAAATATCCACTTGCAGATTCCACAAAAAGAGTGTTTCAAAACTGCTCTCTCAAAAGAAAGGTTCAACTCTGTTAGCTGAGTAGATACATCATGAAAAAGTTTCTGACATTGCTTCTATCTAGCTTTTATTGGAAGATATTTCCTTTTTCAACGCAGTCCTGAGAGCGTTCCTAATGTCCACTTCCAGATACTACAAAAAGAGTGTTTCAAACCTGCTCTATGAAAGGGACTGTTCAACACTGTGACTTCAATTGAAACATCCCAATGAAGCTTCTGAGAATGCTTCTGTCTAGAGTTTATATGAAGACAATCCCGTTTCCAACGAAATCCTCAAAGCTATCCAAATATCCTCTTGCAGATATTACAAAAAGAGTGTTTCAAAACTGCTCTATCAAAAGAAAGGTTCAACACTGTTAGTTGAGGGCGCACATCACAAATAAGTTTACTGAGAATGCTGCTGTCTGCTTTTTATATGTAATCCCGTTTCCAACGAAATCCTCAAAGCTAGACAAATATCCACTTGCACATTCCACAAAAAGAGTGTTTCAAAACTGCTCTATCAAAAGAAAGCTTCAACACTGTTAGTTGAGGGGGTACATCACAAATAAGTTTCTGAGAATGCTTCTGTCTAGTTTTCAGGGGAAGATATTTCCTTTTAAACCATATGCCTGAAAGCGCTCCAAATGTCCACATCCAGATACTACAAAAAGAGTGTTTCAAACCTGCTCTATGAAAGGGACTGTTCAACACTGTGACTTCAATTGAAACATCCCAATGAAGCTTCTGAGAATGCTTCTGTCTAGAGTTTATATGAAGACAATCCCGTTTCCAACGAAATCCTCAAAGCTATCCAAATATCCTCTTGCAGATATTACAAAAAGAGTGTTTCAAAACTGCTCTATCAAAAGAAAGCTTCAACACTGTTAGTTGAGGGCGCACATCACAAATAAGTTTCTGAGAATGCTTCTGTCTAGTTTTCAGGGGAAGATATTTCCTTTTTCACCATAGCCCTGAAAGCGCTCCAAATGTCCACATCCAGATACTACAAAAAGAGTGTTTCAAGCCTGCTCTATGAAAGGGAATGTTCAACTCTGTGACTTGAATGCAAACATCACAAAGAAGTTTCTGGGAATGCAGCTGTCTGCTTTTTATATGTAATCCCGTTTCCAACGAAATCCTCAAAACTAGACAAATATCCACTTGCAGATTCCACAAAAAGAGTGTTTCAAAACTGCTCTCTCAAAAGAAAGGTTCAACTCTGTTAGCTGAGTAGGTACATCATGAAAAAGTTTCTGACATTGTTTCTATCTAGCTTTTATTGGAAGATATTTCCTTTATCACCGTATTTCTGAGGTCTCTCCAAATGTCCACTTCCAGATACTACAAAAAGAGTGTTTCAAACCTGCTCTATGAAAGGGACTGTTCAACACTGTGACTTCAATTGAAACATCCCAATGAAGCTTCTGAGAATGCTTCTTTCTAGAGTTTATATGAAGACAATCCCGTTTCCAACGAAATCCTCAAAGCTATCCAAATATTCTCTTGCAGATATTACAAAAAGAGTGTTTCAAAACTGCTCTATCAAAATAAAGCTTCAACACTGTTAGTTGAGGGCGCACATCACAAATAAGTTTCTGAGAATGCTGCTGTCTGCTTTTTATATGTAATCCCGTTTCCAACGAAATCCTCAAAGCTAGACAAATATCCACTTGCAGATTCCACAAAAAGAGTGTATCAAAACTGCTCTATCAAAAGAAAGCTTCAACACTGTTAGTTGAGGGCGCACATCAGAAATAAGTTCCTGAGAATGCTTCTGTCTAGTTTTCAGGGGAAGATATTTCCTTTTTCACCATAGGCTTGAAAGCGCTCCAAATGTCCACATCCAGATACTACAAAAAGAGTGTTTCAAACCTCCTCTATGAAAGGGAATGTTCAACTCTGTGACTTGAATGCAAACTTCACAAAGAAGTTTCTGGCAATCCTTCTGTCTAGAGTTTATATGAAGACAATCCCGTTTCCAACGAAATCCTCAAAGCTATCCAAATATCCTCTTGCAGATTTTACAAAAAGAGTGTTTCAAAACTGCTCTATCAAAAGAAAGCTTCAACTCTGTTAGTTGAGGGCGCACATCACAAATAAGATTCTGAGAATGCTTCTGTCTAGTTTGCAGGGGAAGATATTTCCTTTTTCACCATAGGCCTGAGAGCGCTCCAAATGTCCACATCCAGATACTACAAAAAGAGTGTTTCAAACCTGCTCTATGAAAGGGAATGTTCAACTCTGTGACTTGAATGCAAACATCACAAAGAAGTTTCTGGGAATGCTGCTGTCTGCTTTTTATATGTAATCCCGTTTCCAACCAAATCCTCAAACTAGACAAATATCCACTTGCAGATTCCACCAAAAGATTGTTTCAAAACTGCTCTCTCAAAGGAAAGGTTCAACTCTGTTAGCTGAGTAGATACATCATGAAAAAGTTTCTGACATTGCTTCTATCTAGCTTTTATTGGAAGATATTTCCTTTTTCACCGTATTCCTGAGAACTCTCCAAATATCCACTTCCAGATACTACAAAAAGAGTGTTTCAAACCTGCTCTATGAAAGAGACTGTTCAACACTGTGACTTCAATTGAAACATCCCAATGAAGCTTCTGAGAATGCTTCTGTCTAGAGTTTATATGAAGACAATCCCGTTTCCAACGAAATCCTCAAAGCTATCCAAATATCCTCTTGCAGATATTACAAAAAGAGTGTTTCAAAACTGCTCTATCAAAAGAAAGGTTCAACACTGTTAGTTGAGGGCGCACATCACAAATAAGTTTACTGAGAATGCTGCTGTCTGCTTTTTATATGTAATCCCGTTTCCAACGAAATCCTCAAAGCTAGACAAATATCCACTTGCAGATTCCACAAAAAGAGTGTTTCAAAACTGCTCTATCAAAAGAAAGCTTCAACACTGTTAGTTGAGGGCGCACATCACAAATAAGTTTCTGAGAATGCTTCTGTCTAGTTTTCAGGGGAAGATATTTCCTTTTAAACCATAGGCCTGAAAGCGCTCCAAATGTCCACATCCAGATACTACAAAAAGAGTGTTTCAAACCTGCTCTATGAAAGGGACTGTTCAACACTGTGACTTCAATTGAAACATCCCAATGACGCTTCTGAGAATGTTTCTGTCTAGAGTTTATATGAAGACAATCCCGTTTCCAACGAAATCCTCAAACCTATCCAAATATCCTCTTGCAGATATTACAAAAAGAGTGTTTCAAAACTGCTCTATCAAAAGAAAGCTTCAACACTGTTAGTTGAGGGCGCACATCACAAATAAGTTTCTGAGAATGCTTCTGTCTAGTTTTCAGGGGAAGATATTTCCTTTTAAACCATAGGCCTGAAAGCGCTCCAAATGTCCACATCCAGATACTACAAAAAGAGTGTTTCAAACCTGCTCTATGAAAGGGAATGTTCAACTCTGTGACTTGAATGCAAACATCACAAAGAAGTTACTGGGAATGCTGCTGTCTGCTTTTTATATGTAATCCCGTTTCCAACGAAATCCTCAAAGCTAGACAAATATCCACTTGCAGATTCCACAAAAAGAGTGTTTCAAAACTGCTCTCTCAAAAGAAAGGTTCAACTCTGTTAGCTGAGTAGATACATCATGAAAAAGTTTCTGACATTGCTTCTATCTAGCTTTTATTGGAAGATATTTCCTTTATCACCGTATTCCTGAGATCTCTCCAAATGTCCACTTCCAGATACTACAAAAAGAGTGTTTCAAACCTGCTCTATGAAAGGGACTGTTCAACACAGTGACTTCAATTGAAACATCCCAATGAAGCTTCTGAGAATGCTTCTGTCTAGAGTTTATATGAAGACAATCCCGTTTCCAACGAAATCCTCAAAGCTATCCAAATATCCTCTTGCAGATATTAGAAAAAGAGTGTTTCAAAACTGCTATATCAAAAGAAAGCTTCAACACTGTTAGTTGAGGGCGCACATCACAAATAAGTTTCTGAGAATGCTGCTGTCTGCTTTTAATATGTAATCACGTTTCCAACGAAATCCTCAAAGCTAGACAAATATCCACTTGCAGATTCCACAAAAAGAGTGTTTCCAAACTGCTCTATCAAAAGAAAGCTTCAACACTGTTAGTTGAGGGCGCACATCACAAATAAGTTTCTGAGAATGCTTCTGTCTAGTTTTCAGGGGAAGATATTTCCTTTTTCACCATAGGCCTGAAAGCGCTCCAAATGTCCACATCCAGATACTACAAAAAGAGTGTTTCAAACCTGCTCTATGAAAGGGACTGTTCAACACTGTGACTTCAATTGAAACATCCCAATGAAGCTTCTGAGAATGCTTCTGTCTAGATTTTATATGAAGACAATCCCGTTTCAAAAGAAATCCTCAAAGCTATCCAAATATCCTCTGGCAGATTTTACAAAAAGAGTGTTTCAAAACTGCTCCATCAAAAGAAAAGTTCAACACTGTTAGTTGAGGGCGCACATCACAAATAAGTTTCTGAGAATGCTTCTGTCTAGTTTTCAGTGGAAGATATTTCCTTTTCCACCATAGGCCTGAAAGCGCTCCAAATGTCCACATCCAGATACTACAAAAAGAGTGTTTCAAACCTGCTCTATGAAACGGAATGTTCAACTCTGTGACTTGAATGCAAATTTCACAAAGAACTTTCTGGGAATGCTGCTGTCTGCTTTTTATGTGTAATCCCGTTTCCAACGAAATCCTCAAAGCTAGACAAATATCCACTTGCAGATTCCACAAAAAGAGTGTTTCAAAACTGCTCTCTCAAAAGAAAGGTTCAACTCTGTTAGCTGAGTAGATACATCATGAAAAAGTTTCTGACATTGCTTCTATCTATCTTTTATTGGAAGATATTTCCTTTATCACCGTATTCCTGAGATCTCTCCAAATGTCCACTTCCAGATACTACAAAAAGAGTGTTTCAAACCTGCTCTATGAAAGGGACTGTTCAACACTGTGACTTCAATTGAAACATCCCAATGAAGCTTCTGAGAATGCTTCTGCCTAGAGTTTATATGAAGACAATCCCGTTTCCAACGAAATCCTCAAAGCTATCCAAATATCCTCTTGCAGATATTACAAAAAGAGTGTTTCAAAACTGCTCTATCAAAAGAAAGCTTCAACACTGTTAGTTGAGGGCGCACATCACAAATAAGTTTCTGAGAATGCTTCTGTCTAGTTTTCAGGGGAAGATATTTCCTTTTTCACCATAGGCCTGAAAGCGCTCCAAATGTCCACATCCAGATACTACAAAAAGAGTGTTTCAAACCTGCTCTATGAAAGGGAATGTTCAACTCTGTGACTTGAATGCAAACATCACAAAGAAGTTTCTGGGAATGCTGCTGTCTGCTTTTTATATGTAATCCCGTTTCCAACGAAATCCTCAAAGCTAGACAAATATCCACTTGCAGATTCCACAAAAAGAGTGTTTCAAAACTGCTCTGTCAAAAGAAAGGTTCAACTCTGTTAGCTGAATAGATACATCATGAAAAATTTTCTGACATTGCTTCTGTCTAGCTTTTATTGGAAGATATTTCCTTTTTCACCGTAGTCCTGAGAACTCTCCAAATGTCCACTTCCAGATACTACAAAAAGAGTGTTTCAAACCTGCTCTATGAAAGGGACTCATCAACACTGTGACTTCAATTGAAACATCCCAATGAAGCTTCTGAGAATGCTTCTGTCTAGAGTTTATATGAAGACAATCCCGTTTCCAACGAAATCCTCAAAGCTATCCAAATATCCTCTTGCAGATATTACAAAAAGAGTGTTTCAAAACTGCTCTATCAAAAGAAAGGTTCAACACTGTTAGTTGAGGGCGCACATCACAAATAAGTTTACTGAGAATGCTGCTGTCTGCTTTTTATATGTAATCCCGTTTCCAACGAAATCCTCAAAGCTATCCAAATATCCTCTTGCAGATATTACAAAAAGAGTGTTTCAAAACTGCTCTATCAAAAGAAAGGTTCAACACTGTTAGTTGAGGGCGCACATCACAAATAAGTTTCTGAGAATGCTTCTGTCTAGTTTTCAGGGGAAGATATTTCCTTTTTCACCATAGGCCTGAAAGCGCTCCAAATGTCCACATCCAGATACTACAAAAAGAGTGTTTCAAACCTGCTCTATGAAAGGGAATGTTCAACTCTGTGACTTGAATGCAAACGTCACAAAGAAGTTTCTGGGAATGCTGCTGTCTGCTTTTTATATGTAATCCCGTTTCCAACGAAATCCTCAAAGCTAGACAAATATCCACTTGCAGATTCCACAAAAAGAGTGTTTCAAAACTGCTCTCTCAAAAGAAAGGTTCAACTCTGTTAGCTGAGTAGATACACCATGAAAAAGTTTCTGACATTGCTTCTATCTAGCTTTTTTTGGAAGATACTTCCTTTTTCACCGTAGTCCTGAGAGCGCTCCAAATGTCCACTTCCAGATACTACAAAAAGAGTGTTTCAAACCTGCTCTATGAAAGGGACTGTTCAACACTGTGACTTCAATTGAAACATCCCAATGAAGCTTCTGAGAATGCTACTGTCTAGAGTTTATATGAAGACAATCCCGTTTCCAACGAAATACTCAAAGCTATCCAAATATCTTCTTGCAGATTTTACAAAAAGCGTGTTTCAAAACTGCTCTATCAAAAGAAAGGTTCAACACTTGTTAGTTGACGGCGCACATCACAAATAAGTTTCTGAGAATGCTTCTGTCTAGTTCTCAGGGGAAGTATATTTCCTTTTTCACCATAGGCCTGAAAGCGCTCCAAATGTCCACATCCAGATACTACAAAAAGAGTGTTTCAAACCTGCTCTATGAAAGGGAATGTTCAACTCTGTGACTTGAATGCAAACATCACAAAGAAGATTCTGGGAATGCTGCTGTCTGCTTTTTATATGTAATCCCGTTTCCAACGAAATCCTCAAAGCTAGACAAATATCCACTTGCAGATTCCACAAAAAGAGTGTTTCAAAACTGCTCTCTCAAAGGAAGGTTCAACTCTGTTAGCTGAGTAGATACATCATGAAAAAGTTTCTGACATTGCTTCTATCTAGCTTTTATTGGAAGATATTTCCTTTTTCACCGCAGTTCTGAGAGCGCTCAAAATGTCCACTTCCAGATACTACAAAAAGAGTGTTTCAAACCTGCTCTATGAAAGGGAATGTTCAACACTGTGACTTCAACTGAAACATCCCAATGAAGCTTCTGAGAATGCTTCTGTCTAGAGTTTATATGAAGACAATCCCGTTTCCAACGAAATCCTCAAAGCTATCCAAATATCCTCTTGCAGATTTTACAAAAAGAGTGTTTCAAAACTGCTCTATCAAAAGAAAGCTTCAACACTGTTAGTTGAGGGCGCACATCAGAAATAAGATTCTGAGAATGCTTCTATCTAGCTTTTATTGGAAGATATTTCCTTTTTCACCGTAGTCCTGAGAGCGCTCCAAATGTCCACTTCCAGATACTACAAAAAGAGTGTTTCAGACCTGCTCTATGAAAGGGAATGTTCAACTCTGTGACTTGAATGCAAACATCACAAAGAAGTTTCTGGGAATGCTGCTGTCTGCTTTTTATATGTAATCCCGTTTCCAACGAAATCCTCAAAGCTAGACAAATATCCACTTGCAGATTCCACAAAAAGAGTGTTTCAAAACTGCTCTCTCAAAGGAAAGGTTCAACTCTGTTAGCTGAGTAGATACATCATGAAAAAGTTTCTGACATTGCTTCTATCTAGCTTTTATTGGAAGATATTTCCTTTATCACCGTATTCCTGAGATCTCTCCAAATGTCCACTTCCAGATACTACAAAAAGAGTGTTTCAAACCTGCTCTATGAAAGGGAGTGTTCAACACTGTGACTTCAATTGAAACATCCCAATGAAGCTTCTGAGAATGCTGCTGTCTGCTTTGTATAATTAATCCCGTTTCCAACGAAATCCTCAAAGCTATCCAAATATCCTCTTGCAGATATTACAAAAAGAGTGTTTCAAAACTGCTCTATCAAAAGAAAGCTTCAACACTGTTAGTTGAGGGCGCACATCACAAATAAGTTTCTGAGAATGCTGCTGTCTGCTTTTTATATGTAATCCCGTTTCCAACGAAATCCTCAAATTTAGACAAATATCCACTTCCAGATTCCACAAAAAGAGTGTTTCAAAACTGCTCTATCAAAAGAATGCTTCAGCACTGTTAGTTGAGGGCGCACATCACAAATAAGTTTCTGAGAATGCTTCTGTCTAGTTTTCAGGGGAAGATATTTCCTTTTAAACCATAGGCCTGAAAGCGCTCCAAATGTCCACATCCAGATTCTACAAAAAGAGTGTTTCAAACCTGCTCTATGAAAGGGACTGTTCAACACTGTGACTTCAATTGAAACATCCCAATGAAGCTTCTGAGAATGCTTCTGTCTAGAGTTTATATGAAGACAATCCCGTTTCCAACGAAATCCTCAAAGCTATCCAAATATCCTCTTGCAGATATTACAAAAAGAGTGTTTCAAAACTGCTCTATCAAAAGAAAGCTTCAACACTGTTAGTTGAGGGCGCACATCACAAATAAGTTTCTGAGAATGCTTCAGTCTAGTTTTCAGGGGAAGATATTTCCTTTTTCACCATAGGCCTGAAAGCGCTCCAAATGTCCACATACAGATACTACAAAAAGAGTGTTTCAAACCTGCTCTATGAAAGGGAATGTTCAACTCTGTGACTTGAATGCAAACTTCACAAAGAAGTTACTGGGAATGCTGCTTTGTGTTTTTATATGTAATCCCGTTTCCAACGAAATCCTCAAAGCTAGACAAATATCCACTTGCAGATTCCACAAAAAGAGTGTTTCAAAACTGCTCTCTCAAAAGAAAGGTTCAACTCTGTTAGCTGAGTAGATACATCATGAAAAAGTTTCTGACATTGCTTCTATGTAGCTTTTATTGGAAGATATTTAATTTTTCACCATAGTCCTGAGAGCCCTCCAAATGTCCACTTCCAGATACTACAAAAAGAGTGTATCAAACCTGTTCTATGAAAGGAACTGTTCAACACTGTGACTTCAATTGAAACATCCCAATGAAGCTTCTGAGAATGCTGCTGTCTGCTTTGTATAATTAATCCCGTTTCCAACGAAATCCTCAAAGCTATCCAAATATCCTCTTGCAGATATTACAAAAAGAGTGTTTCAAAACTGCTCTATCAAAAGAAAGCTTCAACACTGTTAGTTGAGGGCGCACATCACAAATAAGTTTCTGAGAATGCTGCTGTCTGCTTTTTATATGTAATCCCGTTTCCAACGAAATCCTCAAAGCTAGACAAATATCCACTTGCAGATTCCACAAAAAGAGTGTTTCAAAACTGCTCTATCAAAAGAAAGCTTCAACACTGTTAGTTGAGGGCGCACATCACAAATAAGTTTCTGAGAATGCTTCTGTCTAGTTTTCAGGGGAAGATATTTCCTTTTTCACCATAGGCCTGAAAGCGCTCCAAATGTCCACATCCAGATACTACAAAAAGAGTGTTTCAAACCTGCTCTATGAAAGGGACTGTTCAACACTGTGACTTCAATTGAAACATCCCAATGAAGCTTCTGAGAATGCTTCTGTCTAGAGTTTATATGAAGACAATCCCGTTTCCAACGAAATCCTCAAAGCTATCGAAATATCCTCTTACAGATTTTACAAAAAGAGTGTTTCAAAACTGCTCTATCAAAAGAAAGTTTCAACACTGTTAGTTGAGGGCGCACATCACAAATAAGATTCTGAGAATGCTTCTGTCTAGTTTTCAGGGGAAGATATTTCCTTTTTCACCATAGGCCTGAAAGCGCTCCAAATGTCCACATCCAGATACTACAAAAAGAGTGTTTCAAACCTGCTCTATGAAAGGGAATGTTCAACTCTGTGACTTGAATGCAAACATCACAAAGAAGTTTCTGGGAATGCTGCTGTCTGCTTTTTATATGTAATCCCGTTTCCAACGAAATCCTCAAAGCTAGACAAATATCCACTTGCAGATCCCATAAAAAGAGTGTTTCAAAAGTGCTCTCTCAAAGGAAGGTTCAACTCTGTTAGCTGAGTAGATACATCATGAAAAAGTTTCTGACATTGCTTCTATCTAGCTTTTATTGGAAGATATTTCCTTTTTCACCGCAGTCCTGAGAGCGCTCCAAATGTCCACTTCCAGATACTACAAAAAGAGTGTTTCAAACCTGCTCTATGAAAGGGACTGTTCAACACTGTGACTTCAATTGAAACATCCCAATGAAGCTTCTGAGAATGCTTCTGTCTAGAGTTTATATGAAGACAATCCCGTTTCCAACGAAATCCTCAAAGCTATCCAAATATCCTCTTGCAGATATTACAAAAAGAGTGTTTCAAAACTGCTCTATCAAAAGAAAGGTTCAACACTGTTAGTTGAGGGCGCACATCACAAATAAGTTTACTGAGAATGCTGCTGTCTGCTTTTTATATGTAATCCCGTTTCCAACGAAATCCTCAAAGCTAGACAAATATCCACTTGCAGATTCCACAAAAAGAGTGTTTCAAAACTGCTCTATCAAAAGAATGCTTCAACACTGTTAGTTGAAGGCGCACATCACAAATAAGTTTCTGAGAATGCTTCTGTCTAGTTTTCAGGGGAAGATATTTCCTTTTTCACCATAGGCCTGAAAGCGCTCCAAATGTCCACATCCAGATACTACAAAAAGAGTGTTTCAAACCTGCTCTATGAAAGGGACTGTTCAACACTGTGACTTCAATTGAAACATCCCAATGAAGCTTCTGAGAATGCTTCTGTCTAGAGTTTATATGAAGACAATCTCGTTTCCAACGAAATCCTCAAAGCTATCCAAATATCCTCTTGCAGATTTTACAAAAAGAGTGTTTCAAAACTGCTCTATCAAAAGAAAGCTTCAACACTGTTAGTTGAGGGCGCACATCACAAATAAGATTCTGAGAATGCTTCTGTCTAGTTTTCAGGGGAAGATATTTCCTTTTTCACCATAGGCCTGAAAGCGCTCCAAATGTCCACATCCAGATACTACAAAAAGAGTGTTTCAAACCTGCTCTATGAAAGGGAATGTTCAACTCTGTGACTTGAATGCAAACATCACAAAGAAGTTTCTGGGAATGCTGCTGTCTGCTTTTTATATGTAATCCCGTTTCCAACGAAATCCTCAAAGCTAGACAAATATCCACTTGCAGATTCCACAAAAAGAGTGTTTCAAAACTGCTCTCTCAAAGGAAGGTTCAACTCTGTTAGCTGAGTAGACACATCATGAAAAAGTTTCTGACATTGCTTCTATGTAGCTTTTATTGGAAGATATTTCCTTTTTCACCATATTCCTGAGAGCGCTCCAAATGTCCACTTCCAGATACTACAAAAAGAGTGTTTCAAACCTGTTCTATGAAAGGAACTGTTCAACACTGTGACTTCAATTGAAACATACCAATGAAGCTTCTGAGAATGCTTCAGTCTAGAGTTTATATGAAGACAATCCCGTTTCCAACGAAATCCTCAAAGATATCCAAATATCCTATTGCAGATTTTACAAAAAGAGTGTTTCAAAACTACTCTATCAAAAGAAAGGTTTAACACTGTTAGTTGAGGGGGCACATCACAAATAAGTTTCTGAGAATGCTTCTGTCTAGTTTTCAGGGGAAGATATTTCCTTTTTCACCATAGGCTTGAAAGCACTCCAAATGTCCACATCCAGATACTACAAAAAGAGTGTTTCAAACCTGCTCTATGAAAGGGAATGTTCAACTCTGTGACTTGAATGCAAACATCACAAAGAAGTTTCTGGGAATGCTGCTGTCTGCTTTTTATATGTAATCCCGTTTCCAACGAAATCCTCAAAGCTAGACAAATATCCACTTGCAGATTCCACAAAAAGAGGGTTTCAAAACTGCTCTCTCAAAAGAAAGGTTCAACTCTGTTAGCTGAGTAGATACATCATGAAAAAGTTTCTGACATTGCTTCTATCTAGCTTTTATTGGAAGATATTTCCTTTATCATCGTAGTCCTGAGAGCGCTCCAAATGTCCACTTCCAGATACTACAAAAAGAGTGTTTCAAACCTGCTCTATGAAAGGGACTGTTCAACACTGTGACTTCAATTGAAACATCCCAATGAAGCTTCTGAGAATGCTTCTGTCTAGAGTTTATATGAAGACAATCCCGTTTCCAACGAAATCCTCAAAGCTATCCAAATATCCTCTTGCAGATATTACAAAAAGAGTGTTTCAAAACTGCTCTATCAAAAGAAAGGTTCAACACTGTTAGTTGAGGGCGCACATCACAAATAAGTTTACTGAGAATGCTGCTGTCTGCTTTTTATATGTAATCCCGTTTCCAACGAAATCCTCAAAGCTAGACAAATATCCACTTGCAGATTCCACAAAAAGAGTTTTTCAAAACTGCTCTATCAAAAGAAAGCTTCAACACTGTTAGTTGAGGGGGCACATCACAAATAAGTTTCTGAGAATGCTTCTGTCTAGTTTTCAGGGGAAGATATTTCCTTTTAAACCATAGGCCTGAAAGCGCTCCAAATGTCCACATCCAGATACTACAAAAAGAGTGTTTCAAACCTGCTCTATGAAAGGGAATGTTCAACACTGTGACTTCAATTGAAACATCCCAATGACGCTTCTGAGAATGCTTCTGTCTAGAGTTTATATGAAGACAATCCCGTTTCCAACGAAATCCTCAAAGCTATCCAAATATCCTCTTGCAGATTTTACAAAAAGAGTGTTTCAAAACTGCTCTATCAAAAGAAAGCTTCAACACTGTTAGTTGAGGGCGCACATCACAAATAAGATTCTGAGAATGCTTCTGTCTAGTTTTCAGGAGAAGATATTTCCTTTTTCACCATAGGCCTGAAAGCGCTCCAAATGTCCACATCCAGATACTATAAAAAGAGTGTTTCAAACCTGCTCTATGAAAGGGAATGTTCAACTCTGTGACTTGAATGCAAACATCACAAAGAAGATTCTGGGAATGCTGCTGTCTGCTTTTTATATGTAATCCCGTTTCCAACGAAATCCTCAAAGCTAGACAAATATCCACTTACAGATTCCACAAAAAGAGTGTTTCAAAACTGCTCTATCAAAAGAATGCTTCAACACTGTTAGTTGAGGGCGCACATCAGAAATAAGTTTCTGAGAATGCTTCTCTCTAGTTTTCAGGGGAAGATATTTCCTTTTTCACCATAGGCCTGAAAGCGCTCCAAATGTCCACATCCAGATACTACAAAAAGAGTGTTTCAAACCTGCTCTATGAAAGGGACTGTTCAACACTGTGACTTCAATTGAAACATCCCAATGAAGCTTCTGAGAATGCTTCTGTCTAGAGTTTATATGAAGACAATCCCGTTTCCAACGAAATACTCAAAGCTATCCAAATGTCCTCTTGCAGATATTACAAAAAGAGTGTTTCAAAACTGCTCTATCAAAAGAAAAGTTCAACACTGTTAGTTGAGGGCGCACATCACAAATAAGTTTCTGAGAATGCTTCTGTCTAGTTTTCAGGGGAAGATATTTCCTTTTTCACCATAGGCCTGAAAGCGCTCCAAATGTCCACATCCAGATACTACAAAAAGAGTGTTTCAAACCTGCTCTATGAAAGGGAATGTTCAACTCTGTGACTTGAATGCAAACATCACAAAGAAGTTTCTGGGAATGCTGCTGTCTGCTTTTTATATGTAATCCCGTTTCCAACGAAATCCTCAAAGCTAGACAAATATCCACTTCCAGATTCCACAAAAAGAGTGTTTCAAAACTGCTCTCTCAAAAGAAAGGTTCAACTCTGTTAGCTGAGTAGATACATCATGAAAAAGTTTCTGACATTGCTTCTATGTAGCTTTTATTGGAAGATATTTCCTTTTTCACCAAAGGCCTGAAAGCGCTCCAAATGTCCACATCCAGATACTACAAAAAGAGTGTTTCAAACCTGCTCTATGAAAGGGAATGTTCAACTCTGTCACTTGAATGCAAACCTCACAAAGAAGTTACTGGGAATGCTTCTGGCTAGAGTTTATATGAAGACAATCCCGTTTCCAACGAAATCCTCAAAGCTATCCAAATATCCTCTTGCAGATTTTACAAAAAGAGTGTTTCAAAACTGCTCTATCAAAAGAAAGCTTCAACACTGTTAGTTGAGGGCGCACATCACAAATAAGATTCTGAGAATGCTTTTGTCTAGTTTTCAGGAGAAGATATTTCCTTTTTCACCATAGGCCTGAAAGCGCTCCAAATGTCCACATCCAGATACTATAAAAAGAGTGTTTCAAACCTGCTCTCTGAAAGGGAATGTTCAAATCTGTGACTTGAATGCAAACATCACAAACAAGATTCTGGGAATGCTGCTGTCTGCTTTTTATATGTAATCCCGTTTCCAACGAAATCCTCAAAGCTAGACAAATATCCACTTGCAGATTCCACAAAAAGAGTGTTTCAAAACTGCTCTCTCAAAGGAAAGGTTCAACTCTGTTAGCTGAGTAGATACATCATGAAAAAGTTTCTGACATTGCTTCTATGTAGCTTTTATTGGAAGATATTTCCTTTTTCACCGAAGTCCTGAGAGCGCTCCAAATGTCCACTTCCAGATACTACAAAAAGAGTGTTTCAAACCTGTTCAATGAAAGGAACTGTTCAACACTGTGACTTCAATTGAAACATCCCAATGAAGCTTCTGAGAATGCTTCTGTCTAGAGTTTATATGAAGACAATCCCGTTTCCAACGAAATCCTCAAAGCTATCCAAATATCCTCTTGCAGATATTACAAAAAGAGTGTTTCAAAACTGCTCTATCAAAAGAAAGGTTAAACACTGTTAGTTGAGGGCGCACATCACAAATAAGATTCTGAGAATGCCTCTGTCTAGTTTTCTGGGGAAGATATTTCCTTTTTCACCATAGGCCTGAAAGCGCTCCAAATGTCCACATCCAGATACTACAAAAAGAGTGTTTCAAACCTGCTCTATGAAAGGGAATGTTCAAGTCTGTGACTTGAATGCAAATTTCACAAAGAAGTTTCTGGGAATGCTTCTGTCTAGTTTTCAGGGGAAGATATTTCCTTTTTCACCATAGGCCTGAAAGCGCTCCAAATGTCCACATCCAGATACTACAAAAAGAGTGTTTCAAACCTGCTCTATGAAAGGGAATGTTCAACTCTGTGACTTGAATGCAAATATCACAAAGAAGTTTCTGGGAATGCTGCTGTCTGCTTTTTATACGTAATCCCGTTTCCAACGAAATCCTCAAAGCTAGACAAATATCCACTTGCAGATTCCACAAAAAGAGTGTTTCAAAACTGCTCTATCAAAAGAAAGGTTCAACTCTGTTAGCTGAGTAGATACATCATGAAAAATTTTCTGACATTGCTTCTATCTAGCTTTTATTGGAAGATATTTCCTTTTTCACCGTAGTCCTGAGAACCCTCCAAATGTCCACTTCCAGATACTACAAAAAGAGTGTTTCAAACATGCTCTATGAAAGGGACTGTTCAACACTGTGACTTCAATTGAAACATCCCAATGAAGCTTCAGAGAATGCTTATGTCTAGAGTTTATATGAAGACAATCCCGTTTCCAACGAAATCCTGAAAGCTATCCAAATATCCTCTTGCAGATATTACAAAAAGAGTGTTTCAAAACTGCTCTATCAAAAGAAAGCTTCAACACTGTTAGTTGAGGGCGCCCATCACAAATAAGTTTCGGAGAATGCTTAGCTGTCTGCTTTTTATATGAAATCCCGTTTCCAACGAAATCCTCAAAGCTAGACAAATATCCACTTGCAGATTCCACAAAAAGAGTTTTTCAAAACTGCTCTATCAAAAGAATGCTTCAACACTGTTAGTTGAGGGCGCACATCACAAATAAGTTTCTGAGAATGCTTCTATCTAGCTTTCATTGGAAGATATTTCCTTTTTCACCGTAGTCCTGAGATCTCTCCAAATGTCCACTTCCAGATACTACAAAAAGAGTGTTTCAAACCTGCTCTATGAAAGGGACTGTTCAACACTGTGACTTCAATTGAAACATCCCAATGAAGCTTCTGAGAATGCTTCTGTCTAGAGTTTATATGAAGACAGTCCCGTTTCCAATGAAATCCTCAAAACTATCAAAATATCCTCTTGCAGATTTTACAAAAAGTGTGTTTCAAAACTGCTCTATCAAAAGAAAGCTTCAACACTGTTAGTTGAGGGCGCACATCACAAATAAGATTCTGAGAATGCTTCTGTCTAGTTTTCAGGAGAAGATATTTCCTTTTTCACCATAGGCCTGAAAGCGCTCCAAATGTCCACATCCAGATTCTATAAAAAGAGTGTTTCAAACCTGCTCTCTGAAAGGGAATGTTCAACTCTGTGACTTGAATGCAAACATCACAAACAAGATTCTGGGAATGCTGCTGTCTGCTTTTTATATGTAATCCCGTTTCCAACGAAATCCTCAAAGCTAGACAAATATCCACTTGCAGATTCCACAAAAAGAGTGTTTCAAAACTGCTCTCTCAAAGGAAAGGTTCAACTCTGTTAGCTGAGTAGATACATCATGAAAAAGTTTCTGACATTGCTTCTATCTAGCTTTTATTGGAAGATATTTCCTTTATCACCGTATTCCTGAGATCTCTCCAAATGTCCACTTCCAGATACTACAAAAAGAGTGTTTCAAACCTGCTCTATGAAAGGGACTGTTCAACACTATGACTTCAATTGAAACATCCCAATGAAGCTTCTGAGAATGCTTCTGTCTAGAGTTTATATGAAGACAATCCCGTTTCCAACGAAATCCTCAAAGCTATCCAAATATCCTCTTGCAGATATTACAAAAAGAGTGTTTCAAAACTGCTCTATCAAAAGAAAGGTTCAACACTGTTAGTTGAGGGCGCACATCACAAATAAGTTTACTGAGAATGCTGCTGTCTGCTTTTTATATGTAATCCCGTTTCCAACGAAATCCTCAAAGCTAGACAAATATCCACTTGCAGATTCCACAAAAAGAGTGTTTCAAACCTGCTCTATGAAATGGAATGTTCAACACTGTGACTTGAATGCAAACATCACAAAGAAGTTACTGGGAATGCTGCTGTCTGCTTTTTATATGTAATCCCGTTTCCAACGAAATCCTCAAAGCTAAGCAAATATCCACTTGCAGATTCCACAAAAAGAGTGTTTCAAAACTGCTCTCTCAAAGGAAAGGTTCAACTCTGTTAGCTGAGTAGATACATCATGAAAAAGTTTCTGACATTGCTTCTATCTAGCTTTTATTGGAAGATATTTCCTTTATCACCGTATTCCTGAGATCTCTACAAATGCCCACTTCCAGATACTACAAAAAGAGTGTTTCAAACCTGCTCTATGAAAGGGACTGTTCAACACTGTGACTTCAATTGAAACATCCCAATGAAGCTTCTGAGAATGCTGCTGTCTGCTTTGTATAATTAATCCCGTTTCCAACGAAATCCTCAAAGCTATCCAAATATCCTCTTGCAGATATTACAAAAAGAGTGTTTCAAAACTGCTCTATCAAAAGAAAGCTTCAACACTGTTAGTTGAGGGCGCACATCACAAATAAGTTTCTGAGAATGCTGCTGTCTGCTTTTTATATGTAATCCCGTTTCCAACGAAATCCTCAAAGCTAGACAAATATCCACTTGCAGATTCCACAAAAAGAGTGTTTCAAAACTGCTCTATCAAAAGAAAGCTTCAACACTGTTAGTTGAGGGCGCACATCACAAATAAGTTTCTGAGAATGCTTCTGTCTAGTTTTCAGGGGAAGATATTTCCTTTTAAACTATAGGCCTGCAAAAGCTCCAAATGTCCACATCCAGATACTACAAAAAGAGTGTTTCAAACCTGCTCTATGAAAGGGACTGTTCAACACTGTGACTTCAATTGAAACATCCCAATGAAGCTTCTGAGAATTCTTCTGTCTAGAGTTTATATGAAGACAATCCCGTTTCCAACGAAATCCTCAAAGCTATCCAAATATCCTCTTGCAGATTTTACAAAAAGAGTGTTTCAAAACTGCTCTCTCAAAAGAAAGGTTCAACTCTGTTAGCTGAGTAGATACATCATGAAAAAGTTTCTGACATTGCTTCTATGTAGCTTTTATTGGAAGATATTTCCTTTTTCACCATAGGCCTGAAAGCGCTGCAAATGTCCACATCCAGATACTACAAAAAGAGTGTTTCAAACCTGCTCTATGAAACGGAATGTTCCACTCTGTGACTTGAATGCAAACATCACAAAGAAGTTTCTGGGAATGCTACTGTCTAGGGTTAACATGAAGACAATCCCGTTTCCAACGAAATCCTCAAAGCTATCCAAATATCTTCTTGCAGTTTTTACAAAAAGAATATTTCAAAACTGCTCTATCAAAAGAAAGCTTCAACACTGTTAGTTGAGGGCGCACATCACAAATAAGTTTCTGAGAATACTTCAGTCTAGTTTTCAGTGGAAGTTATTTCCTTTTTCACCATAGGCCTGAAAGGGCTGCAAATGTCCAAATCCAGATACTACAAAAAGAGTGTTTCAAACCTGCTCTATGAAAGGGAATGTTAAACTCTGTGACTTGAATGCAAACATCACAAAGAAGTTTCTGGGAATGCTGCTGTCTGCTTTTTATATGTAATCCCGTTTCCAACGAAATCCTCAAAGCTAGACAAATATCCACTTGCAGATTCCACCAAAAGAGTGTTTCAAAACTGCTCTCTGAAAAGAAAGGTTCAACTCTGTTAGCTGAGTAGATACATCATGAAAATGTTTCTGACATTGCTTCTATCTAGCTTTTATTAGAAGATATTTCCTTTTTCACCGTAGTCCTGAGAGCGCTCCAAATGTCCACTTCCAGATACTACAAAAAGAGTGTTTCAAACCTGCTCTATGAAAGGCACTGTTCAACACTGTGACTTCAATTGAAACATCCCAATGAAGCTTCTGAGAATGCTTCTTTCTAGAGTTTATATGAAGACAATCCCGTTTCCAACGAAATCCTCAAAGCTATCCAAATATTCTCTTGCAGATATTACAAAAAGAGTGTTTCAAAACTGCTCTATCAAAATAAAGCTTCAACACTGTTAGTTGAGGGCGCACATCACAAATAAGTTTCTGAGAATGCTGCTGTCTGCTTTTTATATGTAATCCGGTTTCCAACGAAATCCTCAAAGCTAGACAAACATCCACTTGCAGATTCCACAAAAAGAGTGTTTCAAAACTGCTCTATCAAAAGAAAGGTTCAACATTGTTAGTTGAGGGCGCACATCACAAATAAGTTTCTGAGAATGCTTCTGTCTAGTTTTCAGAGGAAGATATTTCCTTTTTCACCATAGGCCTGAAAGCGCTCCAAATGTCCACATCCAGATACTACAAAAAGAGTGTTTCAAACCTGCTCTATGAAAGGGACTGTTCAACACTGTGACTTCAATTGAAACATCCCAATGAGGCTTCTGAGAATGCTTCGTCTAGAGTTTATATGAAGACAATCCCGTTTCCAACGAAATCCTCAAAGCTATCCAAATATCCTCTTGCAGATTTTACAAAAAGAGTGTTTCAAAACTGCTCTATCAAAAGAAAGCTTCAACACTGTTAGTTGAGGGCGCACATCACAAATAAGATTCTGAGAATGCTTCTGTCTAGTTTTCAGGGGAAGATATTTCCTTTTTCACCATAGGCCTGAAAGCGCTCCAAATGTCCACATCCAGATACTACAAAAAGAGTGTTTCAAACCTGCTCTATGAAAGGGAATGTTCAACTCTGTGACTTGAATGCAAACATCACAAAGAAGTTTCTGGGAATGCTGCTGTCTGCTTTTTATATGAAATCCCGTTTCCAACGAAATCCTCAAAGCTAGACAAATATCCACTTGCAGATTCCACAAAAAGAGTGTTTCAAAACTGCTCTCTCAAAAGAAAGGTTCAACTCTTTTAGCTGAGTAGATACATCATGAAAAAGTTTCTGACATTGCTTCTTTCTAGCTTTATTTGGAAGATATTTCCTTTTTCACCGTAGTCCTGAGAACGCTCCAAATGTCCACTTCCAGATACTACAAAAAGATTGTTTCAAACATGCTCTATGAAAGGGACTGTTCAACACTGTGACTTCAATTGAAACATCCCAATGAAGCTTCTGAGAATGCTTCTGTCTAGAGTTTATATGAAGACAATCCCGTTTCCAACGAAATCCTCAAATCTATCCAAATATCCTCTTGCAGATTTTACAAAAAGAGTGTTTCAAAACTGCTCTATCAAAAGAAAGCTTCAACACTGTTAGTTGAGTGCGCACATCACAAATAAGATTCTGGGAATGCTTCTGTCTAGTTTTCAGAGGAAGATATTCCCTTTTTCACCATAGGCCTGAGAGCGCTCCAAATGTCCACATCCAGATACTACAAAAAGAGTGTTTCAAACCTGCTCTATGAAAGGGAATGTTCAACTCTGTGACTTGAATGCAAATTTCACAAAGAAGTTTCTGGGAATGCTGCTGTCTGCTTTTTATATGTAATCCCGTTTCCAACGAAATCCTCAAAGCTAGACAAATATCCACTTGCAGATTCCACAAAAAGAGTGTTTCAAAACTGCTCTCTCAAAGGAAAGGTTCAACTCTGTTAGCTGAGTAGATACATCATGAAAAAGTTTCTGACATTGCTTCTATCTAGCTTTTATTGGAAGATATTTCCTTTTTCACCGTAGTCCTGAGAACGCTCCAAATGTCCACTTCCAGATGCTACAAAAAAAGTGTTTCAAACCTGCTCTATGAAAGGGACTGTTCAACACTGTGACTTCAATTGAAACATCCCAATGAAGCTTCTGAGAATGCTACTGTCTAGGGTTAATATGAAGACAATCCCGTTTCCAACGAAATCCTCAAAGCTATCCAAATATCCTCTTGCAGATTTTACAAAAAGAATGTTTCAAAACTGCTCTATCAAAAGAAAGCTTCAACACTGTTAGTTGAGGGCGCACATCACAAATAAGTTTCTGAGACTCCTTCTGTCTAGTTTTCAGGGGAAGATATTTCCTTTTTCACCATAGGCCTGAAAGCGCTCCAAATGTCCACATCCGGATACTACAAAAAGAGTGTTTCAAACCTGCTCTATGAAAGGGAATGTTCAACTCTGTGACTTGAATGCAAACATCACAAAGAAGTTTCTGGGAATGCTGCTGTAGCTTTTTATATGTTATCCCGTTTCCAACGAAATCCTCAAAGCTAGAGAAATATCCAATTGCAGATTCCACAAAAAGAATGTTTCAAAACTGCTCTCTCAAAAGAAAGGTTAAACTCTGTTAGCTGAGTAGATACATCATGAAAAAGTTTCTGACATTGCTTCTATGTAGCTTTTATTGGAAGATACTTCCTTTTTCACCGCAGTCCTGAGAGCACTCCAAATGTCCACTTCCAGATACTACAAAAAGAGTGTTTCAAACCTGCTCTATGAAAGGGACTGTTCAACACTGTGACTTCCACTGAATCATCCCAATGAAGCTTCTGAGAATGCTTCTGTCTAGAGTTTATATGAAGACAATCCCGTTTCCAACGAAATCCTCAAAGCTATCCAAATATCCTCTTGCAGATATTACAAAAAGAGTGTTTCAAAACTGCTCTATCAAAAGAAAGGTTCAACACTGTTAGTTGAGGGCGCACATCACAAATAAGTTTACTGAGAATGCTGCTGTCTGCTTTTTATATGTAATCCCGTTTCCAACGAAATCCTCAAAGCTAGACAAATATCCACTTGCAGATAAAAAGAGTGTTTCAAAACTGCTCTGTCAAAAGAAAGCTTCAACACTGTTAGTTGAGGGCGCACATCACAAATAAGATTCTGAGAATGCTTCTGTCTAGTTTTCAGGAGAAGATATTTCCCTTTTCACCATAGGCCTGAAAGCGCTCCAAATGTCCACATCCAGATACTATAAAAAGAGTGTTTCAATCCTGCTCTATGAAAGGGAATGTTCAACTCTGTGACTTGAATGCAAACATCACAAAGAAGATTCTGGGAATGCTGCTGTCTGCTTTTTATATGTATTCCCGTTTCCAACGAAATCCTCAAAGCTAGACAAATATCCACTTGCAGATTCCACAAAAAGAGTGTTTCAAAACTGCTCTATCAAAAGAAAGCTTCAACACTGTTAGTTGAGGGCGCACATCACAAATAAGTTTCTGAGAATGCTTCTGTCTAGTTTTCAGGGGAAGATATTTTCTTTTAAACCATAGGCCTGAAAGCGCTCCAAATGTCCACATCCAGATACTACAAAAAGAGTGTTTCAAACCTGCTCTATGAAAGGGACTGTTCAACACTGTGACTTCAATTGAAACATCCCAATGAAGCTTCTGAGAATGCTTCTGTCTAGAGTTTATATGAAGACAATCCCGTTTCCAACGAAATCCTCAAAGCTATCCAAATATCCTCTTGCAGATTTTACAAAAAGAGTGTTTCAAAACTGCTCTATCAAAAGAAAGCTTCAACACTGTTAGTTGAGGGCGCACATCACAAATAAGATTCTGAGAATGCTTCTGTCTAGTTTTCAGGGGAAGATATTTCCTTTTTCACCATAGGCCTCAAAGCGCTCCAAATGTCCACATCCAGATACTACAAAAAGAGTCTTTCAAACCTGCTCTATGAAAGGGAATGTTCAACTCTGTGACTTGAATGCAAACATCACAAAGAAGTTACTGGGAATGCTGCTGTCTGCTTTTTATATGTAATCCCGTTTCCAACGAAATCCTCAAAGCTAGACAAATATCCACTTCCAGATTCCACAAAAAGAGTGT
Source organism: Homo sapiens (assembly GCF_000001405.40). Lineage (NCBI taxonomy): Eukaryota > Metazoa > Chordata > Mammalia > Primates > Hominidae > Homo > Homo sapiens. The sequence continues at coordinate 93,040,888 of NC_000002.12, read as the reverse complement.
TTCAAAACTGCTCTCTCAAAAGAAAGGTTCAACTCTGTTAGCTGAGTAGATACATCATGAAAAAGTTTCTGACATTGCTTCTATCTAGCTTTTATTGGAAGATATTTCCTTTTTCACTGTAGTCCTGAGAACGCTCCAAATGTCCACTTCCAGATACTACAAAAAGAGTGTTTCAAACATGCTCTATGAAAGGGACTGTTCAACACTGTGACTTCAATTGAAACATCCGAATGAAGCTTCTGAGAATGCTACTTTCTAGAGTTTATATGAAGACAATCCCGTTTCCAACGAAATCCTCAAAGCTATCCAAATATCCTCTTGCAGATTTTACAAAAAGAGTGTTTCAAAACTACTCTATCAAAAGAAAGGTTCAACATTGTTAGTTGAGGGCGCACATCACAAATAAGTTTCTGAGAATGCTTCTGTCTAGTTTGCAGGGGAAGATATTTCCTTTTTCACCATAGGCCTGAGAGCGCTCCAAATGTCCACATCCAGATACTACAAAAAGAGTGTTTCAAACCTGCTCTATGAAAGGGAATGTTCAACTCTGTGACTTGAATGCAAACATCACAAAGAAGTTTCTGGGAATGCTGCTGTCTGCTTTTTATATGTAATCCCGATTCCAACGAAATCCTCAAAGCTAGACAAATATCCACTTGCAGATTCCACAAAAATAGTGTTTCAAAACTGCTCTCGCAAAAGAAAGGTTCAACACTTTTAGCTGAGTAGATACATCATGAAAAAGTTTCTGACATTGCTTCTATCTAGCTTTTATTGGAAGATATTTCCTTTTTCACCGTAGTCCTGAGAGCGCTCCAAATCTCCACTTCCAGATATTACAAAAAGAGTGTTTCAAACCTGCTCTACGATAGGGACTGTTCAACACTGTGACTTTAATTGAAACATCCCAATGAAGCTTCTGAGAATGCTTCTGTCTAGATTGTATATGAAGACAATCCCGTTTCCAACGAAATCCTCAAAGCTATCCAAATATCCTCTTGCAGATTTTACAAAAAGAGTGTTTCAAAACTGCTCTATCAAAAGAAAAGTTCAACACTGTTAGTTGAGGGCGCACATCACAAATAAGTTTCTCAGAATGCTTCTATCTAGTTTTCAGGGGAAGATATTTCCTTTTTCACCATAGGCCTGAGAGCGCTCCAAATGTCCACATCCAGATACTACAAAAAGAGTGTTTCAAACCTGCTCTATGAAAGGGAATGTTCAACTCTGTGACTTGAATGCAAACATCACAAAGAAGTTTCTGGGAATGCTGCTGTCTGCTTTTTATATGTAATCCCGTTTCCAAAGAAGTCCTCAAAGCTAGACAAATATCCACTTGCAGATTCCACAAAAAGAGTGTTTCAAAACTGCTCTCTCAAAGAAAGGTTCAACTCTTTTAGCTGAGTAGATACATCATGAAAAAGTTTCTCACATTGCTTCTGTCTAGAGTTTATATGAAGCCAATCCCGTTTCCAACGAAATCCTCAAAGCTATCCAAATATCCTCTTGCAGATTTTACAAAAAGAGTGTTTCAAAACTGCTCTATCAAAAGAAAGCTTCAACACTGTTAGTTGAGGGCGCACATCACAAATAAGTTTCTGAGAATGCTTCTGTCTAGTTTTCAGGAGAAGATATTTCCTTTTTCACCATAGGCCTGAAAGCGCTCCAAATGTCCACATCCAGATACTATAAAAAGAGTGTTTCAAACCTGCTCTCTGAAAGGGAATGTTCAACTCTGTGACTTGAATGCAAACATCACAAACAAGATTCTGGGAATGCTGCTGTCTGCTTTTTATATGTAATCCCGTTTCCAACGAAATCCTCAAAGCTAGACAAATATCCACTTGCAGATTCCACAAAAAGAGTGTTTCAAAACTGCTCTCTCAAAAGAAAGGTTCAACTCTGTTAGCTGAGTAGATACATCATGAAAAAGTTTCTGACATTGCTTCTATCTAGCTTTTATTGGAAGATATTTCCTTTTTCACCGTAGTCCTGAGAGCGCTCCAAATGTCCACTTCCAGATAGTACAAAAAGAGTGTTTCAAACCTGCTCTATGAAAGGGACTGTTCAACACTGTGACTTCAATTGAAACATCCCAATGAAGCTTCTGAGAATGCTTCTGTCTAGAGTTTATATGAAGACAATCCCGTTTCCAACGAAATCCTCAAAGCTATCCAAATATCCTCTTGCAGATATTACAAAAAGAGTGTTTCAAAACTGCTCTATCAAAAGAAAGGTTCAACACTGTTAGTTGAGGGCGCACATCACAAATAAGTTTCTGAGAGTGCTGCTGTCTGCTTTTTATATGTAATCCCGTTTCCAACGAAATCCTTAAAGCTAGACAAATATCCACTTGCAGATTCCACAAAAAGAGTGTTTCAAAACTGCTCTATCAAAAGAAAGCTTCAACACTGTTAGTTGAGGGCGCACATCACAAATAAGTTTACTGAGAATGCTTTTCTGTCTAGTTTTCAGGGGAAGATATTTCCTTTTTCACCATAGGCCTGAAAGCGCTCCAAATGTCCACATCCAGATACTACAAAAAGAGTGTTTCAAACCTGCTCTATGAAAGGGACTGTTCAACACTGTGACTTCAATTGAAACATCCCAATGAAGCTTCTGAGAATGCTTCTGTCTAGAGTTTATATGAAGACAATCCCGTTTCCAACGAAATCCTCAAAGCTATCCAAATATCCTCTTGCAGATTTTACAAAAAGAGTGTTTCAAAACTGCTCTATCAAAAGAAAGCTTCAACACTGTTAGTTGAGGGCGCACATCACAAATAAGATTCTGAGAATGCTTCTGTCTAGTTTTCAGGAGAAGATATTTCCTTTTTCACCATAGGCCTGAAAGCGCTCCAAATGTACACATCCAGATACTACAAAAAGAGTGTTTCAAACCTGCTCTATGAAAGGGAATGTTCAACTCTGTGACTTGAATGCAAACATCACAAAGAAGATTCTGGGAATGCTGCTGTCTGCTTTTTATATGTAATCCCGTTTCCAACGAAATCCTCAAAGCTAGACAAATATCCACTTGCAGATTCCACAAAAAGAGTGTTTCAAAACTGCTCTCTCAAAGGAAGGTTCAACTCTGTTAGCTGAGTAGATACATCATGAAAAAGTTTCTGACATTGCTTCTATCTAGCTTTTATTGGAAGATATTTCCTTTTTCACCGCAGTCCTGAGAGCGCTGCAAATGTCCACTTCCAGATACTACAAATAGTGTGTTTCAAACCTGCTCTATGAAAGGGACTGTTCAACACTGTGACTTCAATTGAAACATCCCAATGAAGCTTCTGAGAATGCTGCTGTCTGCTTTGTATAATTAATCCCGTTTCCAACGAAATCCTCAAAGCTATCCAAATATCCTCTTGCAGATATTACAAAAAGAGTGTTTCAAAACTGCTCTATCAAAAGAAAGCTTCAACACTGTTAGTTGAGGGCGCACATCACAAATAAGTTTCTGAGAATGCTGCTGTCTGCTTTTCATATGTAATCCCGTTTCCAACGAAATCCTCAAAGCTAGACAAATATCCACTTGCAGATTCCACAAGAAGAGTGTTTCAAAACTGCTCTATCAAAAGAATGCTTCAACACTGTTAGTTGAGGGCGCACATCACAAATAAGTTTCTGAGAATGCTTCTGTCTAGTTTTCAGGGGAACATATTTCCTTTTAAACCATAGGCCTGAAAGCGCTCCAAATGTCCACATCCAGATACTATAAAAAGAGTGTTTCAAACCTGCTCTATGAAAGGGACTGTTCAACACTGTAACTTCAATTGAAACATCCCAATGAAGCTTCTGAGAATGCTTCTGTCTAGAGTTTATATGAAGACAATCCCGTTTCCAATGAAATCCTCAAAGCTATGCAAATATCCTCTTGCAGATTTTACAAAAAGAGTGTTTCAAAACTGCTCTATCAAAAGAAAGCTTCAACACTGTTAGTTGAGGGCGCACATCACAAATAAGATTCTGAGAATGCTTCTGTCTAGTTTTCAGGAGAATATATTTCCTTTTTCACCATAGGCCTGAAAGCGCTCCAAATGTCCACATCCAGATACTATAAAAAGAGTGTTTCAAACCTGCTCTATGAAAGGGAATGTTCAACTCCTGTGACTTGAATGCAAACATCACAAAGAAGATTCTGGGAATGCTGCTGTCTGCTTTTTATATGTAATCCCGTTTCCAACGAAATCCTCAAAGCTAGACAAATATCCACCTGCAGATTCCACAAAAAGAGTGTTTCAAAACTGCTCTCTCAAAGGAAAGGTTCAACTCTGTTAGCTGAGTAGATGCATCATGAAAAAGTTTCTGACATTGCTTCTATCTAGCTTTTATTGGAAGATATTTCCTTTTTCACCGTAGTCCTGAGAACGCTCCAAATGTCCACTTCCAGATGCTACAAAAAGAGTGTTTCAAACCTGCTCTATGAAAGGGACTGTTCAACACTGTGACTTCAATTGAAACATCCCAATGAAGCTTCTGAGAATGCTTCTGTCTAGAGTTTATATGAAGACAATCCCGTTTCCAACGAAATCCTCAAAGCTATCCAAATATCCTCTTGCAGATATTACAAAAAGAGTGTTTCAAAACTGCTCTATCAAAAGAAAGGTTCAACACTGTTAGTTGAGGGCGCACATCACAAATAAGTTTACTGAGAATGCTGCTGTCTGCTTTTTATATGTAATCCCGTTTCCAACGAAATCCTCAAAGCTAGACAAATATCCACTTGCAGATTCCACAAAAAGAGTGTTTCAAAACTGCTCTATCAAAAGAAAGCTTCAACACTGTTAGTTGAGGGCGCACATCACAAATAAGTTTCTGAGAATGCTTCTGTCTAGTTTTCAGGGGAAGATATTTCCTTTTAAACCATAGGCCTGAAAGCGCTCCAAATGTCCACATCCAGATACTACAAAAAGAGTGTTTCAAACCTGCTCTATGAAAGGGACTGTTCAACACTGTGACTTCAATTGAAACATCCCAATGAAGCTTCTGAGAATGCTTCTGTCTGGAGTTTATATGAAGACAATCCCGTTTCCAACGAAATCCTCAAAGCTATCCAAATATCCTCTTGCAGATATTACAAAAAGAGTGTTTCAAAACTGCTCTATCAAAAGAAAGCTTCAACACTGTTAGTTGAGGGCGCACATCACAAATAAGTTTCTGAGAATGCTTCTGTCTAGTTTTCAGGGGAAGATATTTCCTTTTTCACCTTAGACCTGAAAGCGCTGCAAATGTCCACATCCAGATACTACAAAAAGAGTGTTTCAAACCTGCTCTATGAAAGGGAATGTTCAACTCTGTGACTTGAATGCAAACATCACAAAGAAGTTTCTGGGAATGCTGCTGTCTGCTTTTTATATGTAATCCCGTTTCCAACGAAATCCTCAAAGCTAGACAAATATCCACTTGCAGATTCCACAAAAAGAGTGTTTCAAAACTGCTCTCTCAAAAGAAAGGTTCAACTCTGTTAGCTGAGTAGATACATCATGAAAAAGTTTCTGACATTGCTTCTATGTAGCTTTTATTGGAAGATATTTCCTTTTTAACCGTAGTCCGGAGAGCGCTCCAAATGTCCACTTCCAGATACTACAAAAAGAGTGTTTCAAACCTGCTCTATGAAAGGGACTGTTCAACACTGTGACTTCAATTGAAACATCCCAATGAAGCTTCTGAGAATGCTTCTGTCTAGAGTTTATATGAGGAAAATCCCGTTTCCAATGAAATCCTCAAAGCTATCCAAATATCCTCTTGCTGATTTTACAAAAAGAGTGTTTCAAAACTGCTTTATGAAAAGAAAGCTTCAACACTGTTAGTTGAGGGCGCACATCACAAATAAGATTCTGAGAATGCTGCTGTCTGCTTTTTATATGCAATCCCGTTTCCAACGAAATCCTCAAAGCTATCCAAATATCCTCTTGCAGATATTACAAAAAGAGTGTTTCAAAACAGCTCTATCAAAAGAAAGGTTCAACACTGTTAGTTGAGGGCGCACATCACAAATAAGTTTCTGAGAATGCCTCTGTCTAGTTTTCAGGGGAAGATATTTCCTTTTTCACCTTATGCCTGAAAGCGCTGCAAATGTCCACATCCAGATACTACAAAAAGAGTGTTTCAAACCTGCTCTATCAAAGGGACTGTTCAACACTGTGACTTCAATTGAAACATCCCAATGAAGCTTCTGAGAATGCTTCTGTCTAGAGTTTATATGAAGACAATCCCGTTTCCAACGAAATCCTCAAAGCTATCAAAATATCCTCTTGCAGATTTTACGAAAAGAGTGTTTCAAAACTGCTCTATCAAAAGAAAGCTTCAACACTGTTAGTTGAGGGCGCACATCACAAATAAGATTCTGAGAATGCTTCTGTCTAGTTTTCAGGGGAAGATATTTCCTTTTTCACCATAGGCCTGAAAGCGCTCCAAATGTCCACATCCAGATACTACAAAAAGAGTGTTTCAAACCTGCTGTATGAAAGGGAATGTTCAACTGTGTGACTTGAATGCAAACATCACAAAGAAGTTTCTGGGAATGCTGCTGTCTGCTTTTTATATGTAATCCCGTTTCCAACGAAATCCTCAAAGCTAGACAAATATCCACTTGCAGATTCCACAAAAAGAGTGTTTCAAAACTGTTCTCTCAAAGGAAAGGTTCAACTCTGTTAGCTGAGTAGATACATCATGAAAAAGTTTCTGACATTGCTTCTATCTAGCTTTTATTGGAAGATATTTCCTTTTTCACCGTAGTCCTGAGAGCGCTCCAAACGTCCACTTCCAGATACTACAAAAAGAGTGTTTCAAACCTGCTCTATGAAAGGGACTGTTCAACACTGTGACTTCAATTGAAACATCCCAATGAAGCTTCTGAGAATGCTTCTTTCTAGAGTTTATATGAAGACAATCCCGTTTCCAACGAAATCCTCAAAGCTATCCAAATATTCTCTTGCAGATATTACAAAAAGAGTGTTTCAAAACTGCTCTATCAAAATAAAGCTTCAACACTGTTAGTTGAGGGCGCACATCACAAATAAGTTTCTGAGAATGCTGCTGTCTGCTTTTTATATGTAATCCCGTTTCCAACGAAATCCTCAAAGCTAGACAAATATCCACTTGCAGATTCCACAAAAAGAGTTTTTCAAAACTGCTCTATCAAAAGAAAGCTTCAACACTGTTAGTTGAGGGCGCACATCACAAATAAGTTTCTGAGAATGCTTCTGTCTAGTTTTCAGGGGAAGATATTTCCTTTTAAACCATAGGCCTGAAAGCGCTCCAAATGTCCACATCCAGATACTACAAAAAGAGTGTTTCAAACCTGCTCTATGAAAGGGACTGTTCAACACTGTGACTTCAATTGAAACATCCCAATGACGCTTCTGAGAATGCTTCTGTCTAGAGTTTATATGAAGACAATCCCGTTTCCAACGAAATCCTCAAAGCTATCCAAATATCCTCTTGCAGATTTTACAAAAAGAGTATTTCAAAACTGCTCTATCAAAAGAAAGGTTCAACACTGTTAGTTGAGGGCGCACATCACAAATAAGTTTCTGAGAATGCTCCTGTCTAGTTTTCAGGGGAAGATATTTCCTTTTTCACCATAGGCCAGAATGCGCTCCAATTGTCCACATCTAGATTCTTCAAAAAGAGTGTTTCAAACCTGCTCTATGAAAGGGAATGTTCAACTCTGTGACTTGAATGCAAACATCACAAAGAAGTTTCTGGGAATGCTGCTGTCTGCTTTTTATATGTAATCCCGTTTCCAACTAAATCCTCAAAGCTAGACAAATATCCACTTGCAGATTCCACAAAAAGAGTGTTTCAAAACTCCTCTCTGAAAAGAAAGGTTCAACTCTGTTAGCTGAGTAGATACGTCATGAAAAAGTTTCTGACATTGCTTCTATCTAGCTTTTATTGGAAGATATTTCCTTTTTCACCGCAGTCCTGAGAGCGCTCCAAATGTCCACATCCAGATACTACAAAAAGAGTGTTTCAAACCTGCTCTATGAAAGGGACTGTTCAACACTGTGACTTCAACTGAAACATCCCAATGAAGCTTCTGAGAAGGCTTCTTTCTAGAGTTTATATGAAGACAATCCCGTTTCCAACGAAATCCTCAAAGCTATCCAAATATCCTCTTGCAGATTTTACAAAAAGAGTGTTTCAAAACTGCTCTATCAAAAGAAAGCTTCAACACTGTTAGTTGAGGGCGCACATCAGAAATAAGATTCTGAGAATGCTTCTGTCTAGTTTTCAGGGGAAGATATTTCCTTTTTCACCATAGGCCTGAAAGCGCTCCAAATGTCCACATCCAGATACTACAAAAAGAGTGTTTCAAACCTGCTCTATGAAAGGGAATGTTCAACTCTGTGACTTGAATGCAAACTTCACAAAGAAGTTTCTGGGAATGCTGCTGTCTGCTTTTTATATGTAATCCCGTTTCCAACGAAATCCTCAAAGCTAGACAAAATATCCACTTGCAGATTCCACAAAAAGAGTGTTTCAAAACTGCTCTCTCAAAAGAAAGGTTCAACTCTGTTAGCTGAGTAGATACATCATGAAAAAGTTTCTGACATTGCTTCTATGTAGCTTTTATTGGAAGATATTTCCTTTTTCACCGCAGTCCTGAGAGCGCTCCAAATGTCAACTTCCAGATACTACAAAAAGAGTGTTTCAAACCTGCTCTATGAAAGGGACTGTTCAACACTGTGACTTCAATTGAAACATCCCAATGAAGCTTCTGAGAATGCTTCTGTCTAGAGTTTATATGAAGACAATCCCGTTTCCAACGAAATCCTCAAAGCTATCCAAATATCCTCTTGCAGATATTACAAAAAGAGTGTTTCAAAACTGCTCTATCAAAAGAAAGGTTCAACAGTGTTAGTTGAGGGCGCACATCACAAATAAGTTTCTGAGAATGCTTCTGTCTAGTTTTCAGGGGAAAGATATTTCCTTTTTCACCGTAGGCCTGAAAGCGCTCCAAATGTCCACATCCAGATACTACAAAAAGAGTGTTTCAAACCTGCTCTATGAAAGGGAATGTTCAACTCTGTGACTTGAATGCAAACATCACAAAGAAGTTACTGGGAATGCTGCTGTCTGCTTTTTATATGTAATCCCGTTTCCAACGAAATCCTCAAAGCTAGACAAATATCCACTTGCAGATTCCACAAAAAGAGTGTTTCAAAACTGCTCTCTCAAAGGAAAGGTTCACCTCTGTTAGCTGAGTAGATACATCATGAAAAAGTTTCTGACATTGCTTCTATGTAGCTTTTATTGGAAGATATTTCCATTTTCACCGTAGTCCTGAGAGCGCTCCAAATGTCCACTTCCAGATACTACAAAAAGAGTGTTTCAAACCTGTTCTATGAAAGGAACTGTTCAACACTGTGACTTCAATTGAAACATCCCAATGAAGCTTCTGAGAATGCTTCTGTCTAGAGTTTATATGAAGTCAATCCCGTTTCCAACGAAATCCTCAAAGCTATCCAAATATCCTCTTGCAGATATTACAAAAAGAGTGTTTCAAAACTGCTCTATCAAAAGAAAGGTTCAACACTGTTAGTTGAGGGCGCACATCACAAATAAGTTTCTGAGAATGCTGCTGTCTGCTTTTTATATGTAATCCCGTTTCCAACGAAATCCTCAAAGCTAGACAAATATCCACTTGCAGATTCCACAAAAAGAGTGTTTCAAAACTGCTCTATCAAAAGAATGCTTCAACACTGTTAGTTGAGGGCGCACATCACAAATAAGTTTCTGAGAATGCTTCTGTCTAGTTTTCAGGGGAAGATATTTCCTTTTAAACCATAGGCCTGAAAGCGCTCCAAATGTCCACATCCAGATACTACAAAAAGAGTGTTTCAAACCTGCTCTATGAAAGGGACTGTTCAACACTGTGACTTCAATTGAAACATCCCAATGACGCTTCTGAGAATGCTTCTGTCTAGAGTTTATATGAAGACAATCCCGTTTCCAACGAAATCCTCAAAGCTATCCAAATATCCTCTTGCAGATATTACAAAAAGAGTGTTTCAAAACTGCTCTATCAAAAGAAAGCTTCAACACTGTTAGTTGAGGGCGCACATCACAAATAAGTTTCTGAGAATGTTTCTGTCTAGTTTTCAGGGGAAGATATTTCCTTTTTCACCTTAGGCCTGAAAGCGCTGCAAATGTCCACAACCAGATACTACAAAAAGAGTGTTTCAAACCTGCTCTATGAAAGGGAATGTTCAACTCTGTGACTTGAATGCAAACATCACAAAAAAGTTTCTGGGAACGCTGCTGGCTGCTTTTTATATGTAATCCCGTTTCCAACGAAATCCTCAAAGCTAGACAAATATCCACTTGCAGATTCCACAAAAAGAGTGTTTCAAAACTGCTCTCTCAAAGGAAGGTTCAACTCTGTTAGCTGAGTAGATACATCATGAAAAAGTTTCTGACATTGCTTCTATCTAGCTTTTATTGGAAGATATTTCCTTTTTCACCGTATTCCTGAGAGCGCTCCAAATGTCCACTTCCAGATACTACAAAAAGAGTATTTCAAACCTGCTCTATGAAAGGGACTGTTCAACACTGTGACTTCAATTGAAACATCCCAATGGAGCTTCTGAGAATGCTACTGTCTAGATTTTATATGAAGACAATCCCATTTCCACCGAAATCCTCAAAGCTATCCAAATATCCTCTTGCAGAGTTTACCAAAAGGGTGTTTCAAACTGCTCTATCAAAAGAAAGCTTCAACACTGTTAGTTGAGGGTGTACATCACAAATAAGTTTCTGAGAATGCTTCTGTCTAGTTTTCAGGGGAAGATATTTCCTTTTTCACCATAGGCCTGAAAGCGCTCCAAATGTCCACATCCAGATACTACAAAAAGAGTGTTTCAAACCTGCTCTACGAAAGGGAATGTTCAACTCTGTGACTTGAAAGCAAACATCACAAAGAAGTTTCTGGGAATGCTGCTGTCTGCTTTTTATATGTAATCCCGTTTCCAACGAAATCCTCAAAGCTAGACAAATATCCACCTGCAGATTCCACAAAAAGAGTGTTTCAAAACTGCTCTCTCAAAAGAAAGGTTCAATTCTGTTAGCTGAGTAGATACCTCATGAAAAATTTTCTGACATTGCTTCTATGTAGCTTTTATTGGAAGATATTTCCTTTTTCACCGTAGTCCTGAGAGCGCTCCAAATGTCCACTTCCAGATACTACAAAAAGAGTGTTTCAAACCTGCTCTATGAAAGGGACTGTTCAACACTGTGACTTCAATTGAAACATCCCAATGAAGCTTCTGAGAATGCTTCTTTCTAGAGTTTATATGAAGACAATCCCGTTTCCAACGAAATCCTCAAAGCTATCCAAATATTCTCTTGCAGATATTACAAAAAGAGTGTTTCAAAACTGCTCTATCAAAATAAAGCTTCAACACTGTTAGTTGAGGGCGCACATCACAAATAAGTTTCTGAGAATGCTGCTGTCTGCTTTTTATATGTAATCCCGTTTCCAACGAAATCCTCAAAGCTAGACAAATATCCACTTCCAGATTCCACAAAAAGAGTGTTTCAAAACTGCTCTATCAAAAGAAAGCTTCAACACTGTTAGTTGATTGCGCACATCACAAATAAGTTTCTGAGAATGCTTCTGTCTAGTTTTCAGGGGAAGATATTTCCTTTTTCACCATAGGCCTGAAAGCGCTCCAAATGTCCACATCCAGATACTACAAAAAGAGTGTTTCAAACCTGCTCTATGAAAGGGACTGTTCAACACTGTGACTTCAATTGAAACATCCCAATGAAGCTTCTGAGAATGCTTCTGTCTAGAGTTTATATGAAGACAATCCCGTTTCCAAAGAAATCCTCAAAGACATCCAAATATCCTCTTGCAGATTTTACAAAAAGAGTGTTTCAAAACTGCTCTATCAAAAGAAAGCTTCAACACTGTTAGTTGCGGGCGCACATCACAAATAAGATTCTGAGAATGCTTCTGTCTAGTTTTCAGGGGAAGATATTTCCTTTTTCACCATAGGCCTGAAAGCGCTCCAAATGTCCACATCCAGATACTACAAAAAGAGTGTTTCAAACCTGCTCTATGAAAGGGAATGTTCAACTCTGTGACTTGAATGCAAACATCACAAAGAAGTTACTGGGAATGCTGCTGTCTGCTTTTTATATGTAATCCCGTTTCCAACGAAATCCTCAAAGCTAGACAAATATCCACTTGCATATTCCACAAAAAGAGTGTTTCAAAACTGCTCTCTCAAAAGAAAGGTTCAACTCTGTTAGCTGAGTAGATACATCATGAAAAAGTTTCTGACATTGCTTCTATCTAGCTCTTATTGGAAGATATTTCCTTTTTCACCGCAGTTCTGAGAGCGCTCCAAATGTCCACTTCCAGATACTACAAAAAGAGTGTTTCAAACCTGCTCTATGAAAGGGACTGTTCAACACTGTGACTTCAATTGAAACATCCCAATGAAGCTTCTGAGAATGCTTCTGTCTAGAGTTTATATGAAGACAATCCCGTTTCCAACGAAATCCTCAAAGCTATCCAAATATCCTCTTGCAGATATTACAAAAAGAGTGTTTCAAAACTGCTCTATCAAAAGAAAGGTTCAACACTGTTAGTTGAGGGCGCACATCACAAATAAGTTTACTGAGAATGCTGCTGTCTGCTTTTTATATTTAATCCCGTTTCCATAGAAATCCTCAAAGCTAGACAAATATCCACTTGCAGATTCCACAAAAAGAGTGTTTCAAAACTGCTCTATCAAAAGAAAGCTTCAACACTGTTAGTTGAGGGCGCACATCACAAATAGGTTTCTGAGAATGCTTCTGTCTAGTTTTCAGGGGAAGATATTTCGTTTTTCACCATAGGCCTGAAAGCGCTCCAAATGTCCACATCCAGATTCTACAAAAAGAGTGTTTCAAACCTGCTCTATGAAAGGGACTGTTCAACACTGTGACTTCAATTGAAACATCCCAATGAAGCTTCTGAGAATGCTTCTGTCTAGAGTTTATATGAAGACAATCCCGTTTCCAACGAAATCCTCAAAGCTATCCAAATATCCTCTTGCAGATATTACAAAAAGAGTGTTTCAAAACTGCTCTATCAAAAGAAAGCTTCAACACTGTTAGTTGAGGGCGCACATCACAAATAAGTTTCTGAGAATGCTTCTGTCTAGTTTTCAGGGGAAGATATTTCCTTTTTCACCATAGGCCTGAAAGCGCTCCAAATGTCCACATCCAGATACTTCAAAAAGAGTGTTTCAATCCTGCTCTATGAAAGGGAATGTTCAACTCTGTGTCTTGAATGCAAACATCACAAAGAAGTTACTGGGAATGCTGCTGTCTGCTTTTTATATGTAATCCCGTTTCCAACGAAATCCTCAAAGCTAGACAAATATCCACTTGCAGATTCCACAAAAAGAGTGTTTCAAAACTGCTCTCTCAAAGGAAAGGTTCACCTCTGTTAGCTGAGTAGATACATCATGAAAAAGTTTCTGACATTGCTTCTATCTAGCTTTTATTGGAAGATACTTCCTTTTTCACCGTAGTCCTGAGAGCGCTCCAAATGTCCACTTCCAGATACTACAAAAAGAGTGTTTCAAACCTGCTCTATGAAAGGGACTGTTCAACACTGTGACTTCAATTGAAACATCCCAATGAAGCTTCTGAGAATGCTTCTGTCTAGAGTTTATATGAAGACAATCCCGTTTCCAACGAAATCCTCAAAGCTATCCAAATATCCTCTTGCAGATATTACAAAAAGAGTGTTTCAAAACTGCTCTATCAAAAGAAAGGTTCAACACTGTTAGTTGAGGGCGCACATCACAAATAAGTTTACTGAGAATGCTGCTGTCTGCTTTTTATATGTAATCCCGTTTCCAACGAAATCCTCAAATTTAGACAAATATCCACTTCCAGATTCCACAAAAAGAGTGTTTCAAAACTGCTCTATCAAAAGAATGCTTCAACACTGTTAGTTGAGGGCGCACATCACAAATAAGTTTCTGAGAATGCTTCTGTCTAGTTTTCAGGGGAAGATATTTCCTTTTTCACCTTATGCCTGAAAGCGCTGCAAATGTCCACATCCAGATACTACAAAAAGAGTGTTTCAAACCTGCTCTATGAAAGGGACTGTTCAACACTGTGACTTCAATTGAAACATCCCAATGAAGCTTCTGAGAATGCTTCTGTCTAGAGTTTATATGAAGACAATCCCGTTTCCAACGAAATCCTCAAAGCTATCCAAATATCCTCTTGCAGATTTTACAAAAAGAGTGTTTCAAAACTGCTCTACCAAAAGAAAGCTTCAACACTGTTAGTTGAGGGCGCACATCACAAATAAGATTCTGAGAATGTTTCTGTCTAGTTTTCAGGGGAAGATATTTCCTTTTTCACCATAGGCCTGAAAGCGCTCCAAATGTCCACATCCAGATACTACAAAAAGAGTGTTTGAAACCTGCTCTATGAAAGGCAATGTTCAACTCTGTGACTTGAATGCAAACATCACAAAGAAGTTACTGGGAATGCTGCTGTCTGCTTTTTATATGTAATCCCGTTTCCAACGAAATCCTCAAAGCTAGACAAATATCCACCTGCAGATTCCACAAAAAGAGTGTTTCAAAACTGCTCTCTCAAAGGAAAGGTTCAACTCTGTTAGCTGAGTAGATACATCATGAAAAAGTTTCTGACATTGTTTCTATGTAGCTTTTATTGGAAGATATTTCCTTTTTCACCATAGTCCTGAGAGCGCTCCAAATGTCCACTTCCAGATACTACAAAAAGAGTGTTTCAAACCTGTTCTATGAAAGGAACTGTTCAACACTGTGACTTCAATTGAAACATCCCAATGAAGCTTCTGAGAATGCTTCTGTCTAGAGTTTATATGAAGTCAATCCCGTTTCCAACGAAATCCTCAAAGCTATCCAAATATCCTCTTGCAGATATTACAAAAAGAGTGTTTCAAAACTGCTCTATCAAAAGAAAGGTTCAACACTGTTAGTTTAGGGCGCACATCACAAATAAGTTTCTGAGAATGCTGCTGTCTGCTTTTTATATGTAATCCCGTTTCCAACGAAATCCTCAAAGCTAGACAAATATCCACTTGCAGATTCCACAAAAAGAGTGTTTCAAAACTGCTCTATCAAAAGAAAGCTTCAACACTGTTAGTTGAGGGCGCACATCACAAATAAGTTTCTGAGAATGCTTCTGTCTAGTTTTCAGGGGAAGATATTTCCTTTTTCACCATAGGCCTGAAAGCGTTCCAAATGTCCACATCCAGATACTACAAAAAGAGTGTTTCAAACCTGCTCTATGAAAGGGACTGTTCAACACTGTGACTTCAATTGAAACGTCCCAATGAAGCATCTGAGAATGCTTCTGTCTAGAGTTTATATGAAGACAATCCCGTTTCCAACGAAATCCTCAAAGCTATCCAAATATCCTCTTGCAGATTTAACAAAAAGAGTGTTTCAAAACTGCTCTATCAAAAGAAAGCTTCAACACTGTTAGTTGAGGGCGCACATCACAAATAAGATTCTGAGAATTCTTCTGTCTAGTTTTCAGGGGAAGATATTTCCTTTTTCACCATAGGCCTGAAAGCGCTCCAAATGCCCACATCCAGATACTATAAAAAGAGTGTTTCAAACCTGCTCTATGAAAGGGAATGTTCAACTCTGTGACTTGAATGCAAACATCACAAAGAAGTTTCTGGGAATGCTGCTGTCTGCTTTTTATATGTAATCCCGTTTCCAACGAAATCCTCAAAGCTAGACAAATATCCACTTGCAGATTCCACAAAAAGAGTGTTTTAAAACTGCTCTCTCAAAAGAAAGGTTCAACTCTGTTTGCTGAGTAGATACATCATGAAAAAGTTTCTGACATTGCTTCTATCTAGCTTTATTTGGAAGATATTTCCTTTTTCACCGTAGTCCTGAAAACGCTCCAAATGTCAACTTCCAGATACTACAAAAAGAGTGTTTCAAACCTGCTCTATGAAAGGGACTGTTCAACACTGTGACTTAAATTGAAACATCCCAATGAAGCTTCTGAGAATGCTTCTGTCTAGATTCTATATGAAGACAATCCCGTTTCCAACGAAATCCTCAAAGCTATCCAAATATCCTCTTGCAGATTTTACAAAAAGAGTGTTTCAAAACTGCTCTATCAAAAGAAAAGTTCCACACTGTTAGTTGAGGGCGCACATCACAAATAAGTTTGCTGAGAATGCTGCTGTCTGCTTTTTATATGTAATCCCGTTTCCAACGAAATCCTCAAAGCTAGACAAATATCCACTTGCAGATTCCACAAAAAGAGTGTTTCAAAACTGCTCTATCAAAAGAATGCTTCAACACTGTTAGTTGAGGGCGCACATAACAAATAAGTTTCTGAGAATGCTTTCTGTCTAGTTTTCAGGGGAAGATATTTTCTTATAAACCATAGGCCTGAAAGCGCTCCAAATGTCCACTTCCAGATACTACAAAAAGAGTGTTTCAAACCTGCTCTATGAAAGGGACTGTTCAACACTGTGACTTCAATTGAAACATCCCAATGAAGCTTCTGAGAATGCTTCTGTCTAGAGTTTATATGAAGACAATCCCGTTTCCAACGAAATCCTCAAAGATATCCAAATATCCTCTTGCAGATATTACAAAAAGAGTGTTTCAAAACTGCTCTATCAAAAGAAAGCTTCAACACTGTTAGTTGAGGGCGCACATCACAAATTAGTTTCTGAGAATGCTTCTGTCTAGTTTTCAGGGGAAGATATTTCCTTTTTCACCTTAGGCCTGAAAGCGCTGCAAATGTCCACATCCAGATACTACAAAAAGAGTGTTTCAAACCTGCTCTATGAAAGGGAATGTTCAACTCTGTGACTTGAATGCAAACATCACAAAGAAGTTTCTGGGAATGCTGCTGTCTGCTTTTTATATGTAATCCCGTTTCCAACGAAATCCTCAAAGCTAGACAAATATCCACTTGCAGATTCCACAAAAAGAGTGTTTCTAAACTGCTCTCTCAAAGGAAGGTTCAACTCTGTTAGCTGAGTAGATACATCATGAAAAAGTTTCTGACATTGCTTCTATCTAGCTTTTATTGGAAGATATTTCCTTTTTCACCGCAGTCCTGAGAGCGCTCCAAATGTCCACTTCCAGATACTACAAAAAGAGTGTTTCAAACCTGCTCTATGAAAGGGACTGTTCAACACTGTGACTTCAATTGAAACATCCCAATGAAGCTTCTGAGAATGCTTCTGTCTAGAGTTTATATGAAGACAATCCCGTTTCCAACGAAATCCTCAAAGCTATCAAAATATCCTCTTGCAGACTTTACGAAAAGAGTGTTTCAAAACTGCTCTATCAAAAGAAACCTTCAACACTGTTAGTTGAGGGCGCACATCACAAATAAGATTCTGAGAATGCTGCTGTCTGCTTTTTATATGTAATCCCGTTTCCAACGAAATCCTCAAAGCTAGACAAATATCCACTTGCAGATTCCACAAAAAGAGTGTTTCAAAACTGCTCTATCAAAAGAAAGCTTCAACACTGTTAGTTGAGGGGGCACATCACAAATAAGTTTCTGAGAATGCTTCTGTCTAGTTTTCAGGGGAAGATATTTCCTTTTAAACCATAGGCCTGAAAGCGCTCCAAATGTCCACATCCAGATACTACAAAAAGAGTGTTTCAAACCTTCTCTATGAAAGGGACTGTTCAACACTGTGACTTCAATTGAAACATCCCAATGACGCTTCTGAGAATGCTTCTGTCTAGAGTTTATATGAAGACAATCCCGTTTCCAAAGAAATCCTCAATGCTATCCAAATATCCTCTTGCAGATTTTACAAAAAGAGTGTTTCAAAACTGCTCTATCAAAAGAAAGCTTCAACACTGTTAGTTGAGGGCGCACATCACAAATAAGATTCTGAGAATGCTTCTGTCTAGTTTTCAGGGGAAGATATTTCCTTTTTCACCATAGGCCTGAGAGCGCTCCAAATGTCCACATCCAGATACTACAAAAAGAGTGTTTCAAACCTGCTCTATGAAAGGGAATGTTCAACGCTGTGACTTGAATGCAAACATCACAAAGAAGTTTCTGGGAATGCTGCTGTCTGCTTTTTATATGTAATCCCGTTTCCAACGAAATCCTCAAAGCTAGACAAATATCCACTTGCAGATTCCACAAAAAGAGTGTTTCAAAACTGCTCTCTCAAAAGAAAGGTTCAACTCTGTTAGCTGAGTAGATACATCATGAAAAAGTTTCTGACATTGCTTCTATCTAGCTTTTATTGGAAGATATTTCCTTTATCACCGTATTCCTGAGATCTCTCCAAATGTCCACTTCCAGATACTACAAAAAGAGTGTTTCAAACCTGCTCAATGAAAGGGACTGTTCAACACTGTGACTTCAATTGAAACATCCCAATGAAGCTTCTGAGAATGCTGCTGTCTGCTTTGTATAATTAATCCCGTTTCCAACGAAATCCTCAAAGCTATCCAAATATCCTCTTGCAGATATTACAAAAAGAGTGTTTCAAAACTGCTCTATCAAAAGAAAGCTTCAACACTGTTAGTTGAGGGCGCACATCACAAATAAGTTTCTGAGAATGCTGCTGTCTGCTTTTTATATGTAATCCCGTTTCCAACGAAATCCTCAAAGCTAGACAAATATCCACTTGCAGATTCCACAAAAAGAGTGTTTCAAAACTGCTCTATCAAAAGAATGCTTCAACACTGTTAGTTGAAGGCGCACATCACAAATAAGTTTCTGAGAATGCTTCTGTCTAGTTTTCAGGGGAAGATATTTCCTTTTTCACCATAGGGCTGAAAGCGCTCCAAATGTCCACATCCAGATACTACAAAAAGAGTGTTTCAAACCTGCTCTATGAAAGGGACTGTTCAACACTGTGACTTCAATTGAAACATCCCAATGAAGCTTCTGAGAATGCTTCTGTCTAGAGTTTATATGAAGACAATCCCGTTTCCAACGAAATCCTCAAAGCTATCCAAATATCCTCTTGCAGATTTTACAAAAAGAGTGTTTCAAAACTGGTCTATCAAAAGAAAGCTTCAACACTGTTAGTTGAGGGCGCACATCACAAATAAGATTCTGAGAATGCTTCTGTCTAGTTTTCAGGGGAAGATATTTCCTTTTTCACCATAGGCCTGAAAGCGCTCCAAATGTCCACATCCAGATACTACAAAAAGAGTGTTTCAAACCTGCTCTATGAAAGGGAATGTTCAACTCTGTGACTTGAATGCAAACATCACAAAGAAGTTTCTGGGAATGCTGCTGTCTGCTTTTTATATGTAATCCCGTTTCCAAAGAAATCCTCAAAGCTAGACAAATATCCACTTGCAGACTCCACAAAAAGAGTGTTTCAAAACTGCTCTCTCAAAAGAAAGGTTCAACTCTTTTAGCTGAGTAGATACATCATGAAAAAGTTTCTCACATTGCTTCTATCTAGCTTTTATTGGAAGATATTTCCTTTTTCACCGTAGTCCTGAGAACGCTCCAAATGTCCACTTCCAGATGCTGCAAAAAGAGTGTTTCAAACCTGCTCTATGAAAGGGACTGTTCAACACTGTGACTTCAATTGAAACATCCCAATGAAGCTTCTGAGAATGCTTCTTTCTAGAGTTTATATGAAGACAATCCCGTTTCCAACGAAATCCTCAAAGCTATCCAAATATTCTCTTGCAGATATTACAAAAAGAGTGTTTCAAAACTGCTCTATCAAAATAAAGCTTCAACACTGTTAGTTGAGGGCGCACATCACAAATAAGTTTCTGAGAATGCTGCTGTCTGCTTTTTATATGTAATCCCGTTTCCAACGAAATCCTCAAAGCTAGACAAATATCCACTTGCAGATTCCACAAAAAGAGTGTTTCAAAACTGCTCTATCAAAAGAAAGCTTCAACACTGTTAGTTGAGGGCGCACATCACCAATAAGTTTCTGAGAAGGCTTCTGTCTAGTTTTCAGGGGAAGATATTTCCTTTTAAACCATAGGCCTGAAAGCGCTCCAAATATCCACATCCAGATACTACAAAAAGAGTGTTTCAAACCTGCTCTATGAAAGGGACTGTTCAACACTGTAACTTCAATTGAAACATCCCAATGAAGCTTCTGAGAATGCTTCTGTCTAGAGTTTATATGAAGACAATCCCGTTTCCAACGAAATCCTCAAAGCTATCCAAATATCCTCTTGCAGATTTTACAAAAAGAGTGTTTCAAAACTGCCCTATCAAAAGAAAGCTTCAACACTGTTAGTTGAGGGCGCACATCACAAATAAGATTCTGAGAATGCTTCTGTCTAGTTTTCAGGGGAAGATATTTCCTTTTTCACCATAGGCCTGAAAGCGCTCCAAATGTCCACATCCAGATACTACAAAAAGAGTGTTTCAAACCTGCTCTATGGAAGGGAATGTTCAAGTCTGTGACTTGAATGCAAATATCACAAAGAAGTTTCTGGGAATGCTGCTGTCTGCTTTTTATATGTAATCCCGTTTCCAACGAAATCCTCAAAGCTAGACAAATATCCACTTGCAGATTCCACAAAAAGAGTGTTTCAAAACTGCTCTCTCAAAAGAAAGGTTCAACTCTGTTAGCTGAGTAGACACATCATGAAAAATTTTCTGACATTGCTTCTATCTAGCTTTTATTGGAAGATATTTCCTTTTTCACCGTGGTCCTGAGAGCGCTCCAAATGTCCACTTCCAGATACTACAAAAAGAGTGTTTCAAACCTGCTCTATGAAAGGGACTGTTCAACACTGTGACTTCAATTGAAACATCCCAATGGAGCTTCTGAGAATGCTTCTGTCTAGATTCTATATGAAGACAATCCCGTTTCCAACGAAATCCTCAAAGCTATCCAAATATCCTCTTGCAGATTTTACAAAAAGAGTGTTTCAAAACTGCTCTATCAAAAGAAAAGTTCCACACTGTTAGTTGAGGGCGCACATCACAAATAAGTTTGCTGAGAATGCTGCTGTCTGCTTTTTATATGTAATCCCGTTTCCAACGAAATCCTTAAAGCTAGACAAATATCCACTTGCAGATTCCACAAAAAGAGTGTTTCAAAACTGCTCTATCAAAAGAAAGCTTCAACACTGTTAGTTGAGGGCGCACATCACAAATAAGTTTACTGAGAATGCTTTTCTGTCTAGTTTTCAGGGGAAGATATTTCCTTTTAAACCATAGGCCTGAAAGCGCTCCAAATGTCCACATCCAGATACTACAAAAAGAGTGTTTCAAACCTGCTCTATGAAAGGGACTGTTCAACACTGTGACTTCAATTGAAACATCCCAATGAAGCTTCTGAGAATGCTTCTGTCTAGATTTTATATGAAGACAATCCCGTTTCAAAGGAAATCCTCAAAGCTATCCAAATATCCTCTTGCAGATTTTACAAAAAGAGTGTTTCAAAACAGCTCTATCAAAAGAAAAGTTCAACACTGTTAGTTGAGGGCGCACATCACAAATAAGATTCTGAGAATGCTTCTGTCTAGTTTGCAGGGGAAGATATTTCCTTTTTCACCATAGGCCTGAAATCGCTCCAAATGTCCACATCCAGATACTACAAAAAGAGTGTTTCAAACCTGCTCTATGAAAGGGAATGTTCAAGTCTGTGACTTGAATGCAAATTTCACAAAGAAGTTTCTGGGAATGCTGCTGTCTGGTTTTTATATGTAATCCCGTTTCCAACGAAATCCTCAAAGCTAGACAAATATCCACTTGCAGATTCCACAAAAAGAGTGTTTCAAAACTGCTCTCTCAAAAGAAAGGTTCAACTCTGTTAGCTGAGTAGATACATCATGAAAATGTTTCTGACATTGCTTCTATCTAGCTTTTATTGGAAGATATTTCCTTTATCACCGTAGTCCTGAGAGCGCTCCAAATGTCCACTTCCAGATACTACAAAAAGAGTGTTTCAAACCTGCTCTATGAAAGGGACTGTTCAACACTGTGACTTCAATTGAAACATCCCAATGAAGCTTCTGAGAATGCTTCTGCCTAGAGTTTATATGAAGACAATCCCGTTTCCAACGAAATCCTCAAAGCTATCCAAATATCCTCTTGCAGATATTACAAAAAGAGTGTTTCAAAACTGCTCTATCAAAAGAAAGCTTCAACACTGTTAGTTGAGGGCGCACATCACAAATAAGTTTCTGAGAATGCTTCTGTCTAGTTTTCAGGGGAAGATATTTCCTTTTTCACCATAGGCCTGAAAGCGCTCCAAATGTCCACATCCAGATACTACAAAAAGAGTGTTTCAAACCTGCTCTATGAAAGGGAATGTTCAACTCTGTGACTTGAATGCAAACGTCACAAAGAAGTTACTGGGAATGCTGCTGTCTGCTTTTTATATGTAATCCCGTTTCCAACGAAATCCTCAAAGCTAGACAAATATCCACTTCCAGATTCCACAAAAAGAGTGTTTCAAAACTGCTCTCTCAAAAGAAAGGTTCAACTCTGTTAGCTGAGTAGATACTTCATGAAAAAGTTTCTGACATTGCTTCTATCTAGCTTTTATTGGAAGATATTTCCTTTATCACCGTATTCCTGAGATCTCTCCAAATGTCCACTTCCAGATACTACAAAAAGAGTGTTTCAAACCTGCTCTATGAAAGGGACTGTTCAACACTGTGACTTCAATTGAAACATCCCAATGAAGCTTCTGAGAATGCTTCTTTCTAGAGTTTATATGAAGACAATCCCGTTTCCAACGAAATCCTCAAAGCTATCCAAATATTCTCTTGCAGATATTACAAAAAGAGTGTTTCAAAACTGCTCTATCAAAATAAAGCTTCAACACTGTTAGTTGAGGGCGCACATCACAAATAAGTTTCTGAGAATGCTGCTGTCTGCTTTTTATATGTAATCCCGTTTCCAACGAAATCCTCAAAGCTATCCAAATATCCTCTTGCAGATATTACAAAAAGAGTGTTTCAAAACTGCTCTATCAAGAGAAAGGTTCAACACTGTTAGTTGAGGGCGCACATCACAAATAAGTTTCTGAGAATGCTTCTGTCTAGTTTTCAGGGGAAGATATTTCCTTTTTCACCATAGGCCTGAAAGCGCTCCAAATGTCCACATCCAGATACTACAAAAAGAGTGTTTCAAACCTGCTCTATGAAAGGGACTGTTCAACACTGTGACTTCAATTGAAACATCCCAATGAAGCTTCTGAGAATGCTTCTGTCTAGAGTTTATATGAAGACAATCCCGTTTCCAACGAAATCCTCAAAGCTATCAAAATATCCTCTTGCAGATTTTACGAAAAGAGTGTTTCAAAACTGCTCTATCAAAAGAAAGCTTCAACACTGTTAGTTGAGGGCGCACATCACAAATAAGATTCTGAGAAAGCTTCTGTCTAGTTTTCAGGGGAAGATATTTCCTTTTTCACCTTAGGCCTGAAAGCGCTGCAAAAGTCCACATCCAGATACTACAAAAAGAGTGTTTCAAACCTGCTCTATGAAAGGGAATGTTCAACTCTGTGACTTGAATGCAAACATCACAAAGAAGTTTCTGGGAATGCTCCTGTCTGCTTTTTATATGTAATCCCGTTTCCAACGCAATCCTCAAAGCTAGACAAATATCCACTTGCAGATTCCACAAAAAGAGTGTTTCAAAACTGCTCTCTCAAAAGAAAGGTTCAACCCTGTTAGGTGAGTAGATACATCATGAAAAATTTTCTGACATTGCTTCTATCTAGCTTTTATTGGAAGATATTTCCTTTTTCACCGTAGTCCTGAGAGCGCTCCAAATGTCCACTTCCAGATACTACAAAAAGAGTGTTTCAAACCTGCTCTATGAAAGGGACTGTTCAACACTGTGACTTCAATTGAAACATCCCAATGAAGCTTCTGAGAATGCTTATGTCTAGAGTTTATATGAAGACAATCCCGTTTCCAACGAAATCCTGAAAGCTATCCAAATATCCTCTTGCAGATATTACAAAAAGAGTGTTTCAAAACTGCTCTATCAAAAGAAAGCTTCAACACTGTTAGTTGAGGGCGCCCATCACAAATAAGTTTCGGAGAATGCTTAGCTGTCTGCTTTTTATATGTAATCCCGTTTCCAACGAAATCCTCAAACCTAGACAAATATCTACTTGCAGATTCCACAAAAAGAGTGTTTCAAAACTGCTCTATCAAAAGAAAGCTTCAACACTGTTAGTTGAGGGCGCACATCACAAATAAGTTTCTGAGAATGCTTCTGTCTAGTTTTCAGGAGAAGATATTTCCTTTTTCACCGTATTCCTGAGATCTCTCCAAATGTCCACTTCCAGATACTACAAAAAGAGTGTTTCAAACCTGCTCTATGAAAGGGACTGTTCAACACTGTGACTTCAATTGAAACATCCCAATGAAGCTTCTGAGAATGCTTCTGTCTAGATTCTATATGAAGACAATCCCGTTTCCAACGAAATCCTCAAAGCTATCCAAATATCCTCTTGCGGATTTTACAAAAAGAGTGTATCAAAACTGCTCTATCAAAAGAAAGGTTCAACACTGTTAGTTGAGGGCGCACATGACAAATAAGTTTCTGAGAATGCTTCTGTCTAGTTTTCAGGGGAAGATATTTCCTTTTTCACCATAGGCCTGAAAGCGCTGCAAATGTCCACATCCAGATACTACAAAAAGAGTGTTTCAAACCTGCTCTATGAAAGGGAATGTTCAACTCTGTGACTTGAATGCAAACATCACAAAGAAGTTACTGGGAATGCTGCTGTCTGCTTTTTATATGTAATCCCGTTTCCAACGAAATCCTCAAAGCTAGACAAATATCCACTTGCAGATTCCACAAAAAGAGAGTTTCAAAACTGCTCTCTCAAAGGAAAGGTTCAACTCTGTTAGCTGAGTAGATACATCATGAAAAAGTTTCTGACATTGCTTCTATGTAGCTTTTATTGGAAGATATTTCCTTTTTCACCATAGTCCTGAGAGCGCTCCAAATGTCCACTTCCAGATACTACAAAAAGAGTGTTTCAAACCTGTTCTATGAAAGGAACTGTTCAACACTGTGACTTCAATTGAAACATCCCAATGAAGCTTCTGAGAATGCTGCTGTCTGCTTTGTATAATTAATCCCGTTTCCAACGAAATCCTCAAAGCTATCCAAATATCCTCTTGCAGATATTACAAAAAGAGTGTTTCAAAACTGCTCTATCAAAAGAAAGCTTCAACACTGTTAGTTGAGGGCGCACATCACAAATAAGTTTCTGAGAATGCTGCTGTCTGCTTTTTATATGTAATCCCGTTTCCAACGAAATCCTCAAAGCTAGACAAATATCCTCTTGCAGATTCCATAAAAAGAGTGTTTCAAAACTGCTCTATCAAAAGAAAGCTTCAACACTGTTAGATGAGGGCGCACATCACAAATAAGTTTCTGAGAATGCTTCTGTCTAGTTTTCAGGGGAAGATATTTCCTTTTTCACCATAGGCCTGAAAGCGCTCCAAATGTCCACATCCAGATACTACAAAAAGAGTGTTTCAAACCTGCTCTATGAAAGGGACTGTTCAACACTGTGACTTCAATTGAAACATCCCAATGAAGCTTCTGAGAATGCTTCTGTCTAGATTCTATATGAAGACAATCCCGTTTCCAACGAAATCCTCAAAGCTATCCAAATATCCTCTTGCGGATTTTACAAAAAGAGTGTTTCAAACCTGCTCTATGAAAGTGACTGTTCAACACTGTGACTTCAATTGAAACATCCCAAAGAACCTTCTGAGAATGCTACTGTCTAGGGTTAATATGAAGACAATCCCGTTTCCAACGAAATCCTCAAAGCTATCCAAATATCCTCTTGCAGATTTTACGAAAAGAGTGTTTCAAAACTACTCTATCAACAGAAAGGTTCAACATTGTTAGTTGAGGGCGCACATCACAAATAAGTTTCTGAGAATGCTTCTGTCTAGTTTTCAGGGGAAGATATTTCCTTTTTCACCTTAGGCCTGAAAGCGCTGCAAATGTCCACATCCAGATACTACAAAAAGAGTGTTTCAAATCTGCTCTATGAAAGGGAATGTTCAACTCTGTGACTTGAATGCAAACAACACAAAGAAGTTTCTGGGAATGCTGCTGTCTGCTTTTTATATGTAATCCCGTTTCCAACGAAATCCTCAAAGCTAGACAAATATCCACTTTCAGATTACACAAAAAGAGTGTTTCAAAACTGCTCTCTCAAAAGAAAGGTTCAACTCTGTTAGCTGAGTAGATACATCATGAAAAAGTTTCTGACATTGCTTCTATCTAGCTTTTATTGGAAGATATTTCCTTTATCACCGTATTCCTGAGATCTCTCCAAATGTCCACTTCCAGATACTACAAAAAGAGTATTTCAAACCTGCTCTATGAAAGGGACTGTTCAACACTGTGACTTCAATTGAAACATCCCAATGAAGCTTCTGAGAATGCTTCTCTGTAGAGTTTATATGAAGACAATCCCGTTTCCAACGAAATCCTCAAAGCTATCAAAATATCCTCTTGCAGATATTATAAAAAGAGTGTTTCAAAACTGCTCTATCAAAAGAAAGCTTCAACACTGTTAGTTGAGGGCGCACATCACAAATAAGATTCTGAGAATGCTTCTGTCTAGTTTTCAGGAGAAGATATTTCCTTTTTCATCATAGGCCTGAAAGCGCTCCAAATGTCCACATCCAGATACTATAAAAAGAGTGTTTCAAACCTGCTCTCTGAAAGGGAATGTTCAACTCTGTGACTTGAATGCAAACATCACAAACAAGATTCTGGGAATGCTGCTGTCTGCTTTTTATATGTAATCCCGTTTCCAACGAAATCCTCAAAGCTAGACAAATATCCACTTGCAGATTCCACAAAAAGAGTGTTTCAAAACTGCTCTCTCAAAGGAAAGGTTCAACTCTGTTAGCTGAGTAGATACATCATGAAAAAGTTTCTGACATTGCTTCTATCTATCTTTTATTGGAAGATATTTCCTTTATCACCGTATTCCTGAGATCTCTCCAAATGTCCACTTCCAGATACTACAAAAAGAGTGTTTCAAACCTGCTGTATGAAAGGGACTGTTCAACAATGTGACTTCAATTGAAACATCCCAATGAAGCTTCTGAGAATGCTTCTGTCTAGAGTTTATATGAAGACAATCCCGTTTCCAACGAAATCCTCAAAGCTATCCAAATATCCTCTTGCAGATATTACAAAAAGAGTGTTTCAAAACTGCTCTATCAAAAGAAAGGTTCAACACTGTTAGTTGAGGGCGCACATCACAAATAAGTTTACTGAGAATGCTGCTGTCTGCTTTTTATATGTAATCCCGTTTCCAACGAAATCCTCAAAGCTAGACAAATATCCACTTGCAGATTCCACAAAAAGAGTGTTTCAAAACTGCTCTATCAAAAGAAAGCTTCAACACTGTTAGTTGAGGGCGCACATCACAAATAAGTTTCTGAGAATGCTTCTGTCTAGTTTTCAGGGGAAGATATTTCCTTTTTCACCATAGGCCTGAAAGCGCTCCAAATGTCCACATCCAGATACTACAAAAAGAGTGTTTCAAACCTGCTCTATGAAAGGGACTGTTCAACACTGTGACTTCAATTGAAACATCCCAATGAAGCATCTGAGAATGCTACTGTCTAGAATTTATATGAAGACAATCCCGTTTCCAACGAAATCCTCAAAGCTATCCAAATAACCTCTTGCAGATTTTACAAAAAGAGTGTTTCAAAACTGCTCTATCAAAAGAAAAGTTCAACACTGTTAGTTGAGGGCGCACATCACAAATAAGTTTCTGAGAATGCTTCTGTCTAGTTTTCAGGGGAAGATATTTCCTTTTTCACCATAGGCCTGAAAGCGCTCCAAATGTCCACATACAGATACTACAAAAAGAGTGTTTCAAACCTGCTCTATGAAAGGGAATGTTCAACTCTGTGACTTGAATGCAAACTTCACAAAGAAGTTTCTGGGAATGCTGCTGTCTGCTTTTTATATGTAATCCCATTTCCAACGAAATCCTCAAAGCTAGACAAATATCCACTTGCAGATTCCACAAAAAGAGTGTTTCAAAACTGCTCTCTCAAAAGAAACGTTCAACTCTGTTAGCTGAGTAGATACATCATGAAAAAGTTTCTGACATTGCTTCTATCTAGCTTTTATTGGAAGATATTTCCTTTATCACCGTATTCCTGAGATCTCTCCAAATGTCCACTTCCAGATACTACAAAAAGAGTGTTTCAAACCTGCTCTATGAAAGGGACTGTTCAACACTGTGACTTCAATTGAAACATCCCAATGAAGCTTCTGAGAATGCTTCTGTCTAGAATTTATATGAAGACAATCCCGTTTCCAACGAAATCCTCAAAGCTATCCAAATATCCTCTTGCAGATATTACAAAAAGAGTGTTTCAAAACTGCTCTATCAAAAGAAAGGTTCAACACTGTTAGTTGAGGGCGCACATCACAAATAAGTTTCTGAGAATGCTTCTGTCTAGTTTTCAGGGGAAGATATTTCCTTTTTCACCATAGGCTTGAAAGCACTCCAAATGTCCACATCCAGATACTACAAAAAGAGTGTTTCAAACCTGCTCTATGAAAGGGAATGTTCAACTCTGTGACTTGAATGCAAACATCACAAAGAAGTTTCTGGGAATGCTGCTGTCTGCTTTTTATATGTAATACCGTTTCCAACGCAATCCTCAAAACTAGACAAATATCCACTTGCAGATTCCACAAAAAGAGTGTTTCAAAACTACTCTCTCCAAAGAAAGGTTCACCTCTGTTAGCTGAGTAGATACATCATGAAAAATTTTCTGACATTGCTTCTATCTAGCTTTTATTGGAAGATATTTCCTTTTTCACCGTAGTCCTGAGAACGCTCCAAATGTCCACTTCCAGATGCTACAAAAAGAGTGTTTCAAACCTGCTCTATGAAAGGGACTGTTCAACACTGTGACTTCAATTGAAACATCCCAATGAAGCTTCTGAGAATGCAACTGTCTAGGGTTAATATGAAGACAATCCCGTTTCCAACGAAAGCCTCCAAGCTATCCAAATATCCTCTTGCAGATTTTACAAAAAGAGTGTTTCAAAACTGCTCTATCAAAAGAAAGCTTCAACACTGTTAGTTGAGGGCGCACATCACAAATAAGTTTCTGAGAATGCTGCTGTCTGCTTTTTATAATTAATCCCGTTTCCAACGAAATCCTCAAAGCTATCCAAATATCCTCTTGCAGATATTACAAAAAGAGTGTTTCAAAACTGCTCTATCAAAAGAAAGGTTCAACACTGTTAGTTGAGGGCGCACATCACAAATAAGTTTCTGAGAATGCTTCTGTCTAGTTTTCAGGGGAAGATATTTCCTTTTAAACCATAGGCCTGAAAGCGCTCCAAATGTCCACATCCAGATACTACAAAAAGAGTGTTTCAAACCTGCTCTATGAAAGGGACTGTTCAACACTGTGACTTCAATTGAAACATCCCAATGACGCTTCTGAGAATGCTTCTGTCTAGAGTTTATATGAAGACAATCCCGTTTCCAATGAAATTCTCAATGCTATCCAAATATCCTCTTGCAGATTTTACAAAAAGAGTGTTTCAAAACTGCTCTATCAAAAGAAAGCTTCAACACTGTTAGTTGAGGGCGCACATCACAAATAAGATTCTGAGAATGCTTCTGTCTAGTTTTCAGGAGAAGATATTTCCTTTTTCACCATAGGCCTGAAAGCGCTCCAAATGTCCACATCCAGATACTATAAAAAGAGTGTTTCAAACCTGCTCTCTGAAAGGGAATGTTCAACTCTGTGACTTGAATGCAAACATCACAAACAAGATTCTGGGAATGCTGCTGTCTGCTTTTTATATGTAATCCCGTTTCCAACGAAATCCTCAAAGCTAGACAAATATCCACTTGCAGATAAAAAGAGTGTTTCAAAACTGCTCTGTCAAAAGAAAGCTTCAACACTGTTAGTTGAGGGCGCACATCACAAATAAGTTTCTGAGAATGCTTCTGTCTAGTTTTCAGGGGAAGATACTTCCTTTTAAACCATAGGCCTGAAAGCGCTCCAAATGTCCACATCCAGATACTACAAAAAGAGTGTTTCAAACCTGCTCTATGAAAGGGAATGTTCAACACTGTGACTTCAATTGAAACATCCCAATGACGCTTCTGAGAATGCTTCTGTCTAGAGTTTATATGAAGACAATCCCGTTTCCAACGAAATCCTCAAAGCTATCAAAATATCCTCTTGCAGATTTTACGAAAAGAGTGTTTCAAAACTGCTCTATCAAAAGAAAGCTTCAACACTGTTAGTTGAGGGCACACATCACAAATAAGATTCTGAGAATGCTTCTATCTAGCTTTTATTGGAAGATATTTCCTTTTTCACCGTAGTCCTGAGAGCGCTCCAAATGTCCACTTCCAGATACTACAAAAAGAGTGTTTCAAACCTGCTCTATGAAAGGGAATGTTCAACTCTGTGACGTGAATGCAAACATCACAAAGAAGTTTCTGGGAATGCTGCTGTCTGCTTTTTATATGTAATCCCGTTTCCAACGAAATCCTCAAAGCTAGACAAATATCCACTTGCAGATTCCACAAAAAGAGTGTTTCAAAACTGCTCTCTCAAAAGAAAGGTTCAACTCTGTTAGCTGAGTAGATACATCATGAAAAAGTTTCTGACATTGCTTCTATCTAGCTTTTATTGGAAGATATTTCCTTTTTCACCGTAGTCCTGAGATCTCTCCAAATGTCCACTTCCAGATACTACAAAAAGAGTGTTTCAAACCTGCTCTATGAAAGGGACTGTTCAACACTGTGACTTCAATTGAAACATCCCAATGAAGCTTCTGAGAATGCTTCTGTCTAGAGTTTATATGAAGACAGTCCCGTTTCCAATGAAATCCACAAAGCTATCCAAATATCCTCTTGCAGATTTTACAAAAAGTGTGTTTCAAAACTGCTCTATCAAAAGAAAGCTTCAACACTGTTAGTTGAGGGCGCACATCACAAATAAGATTCTGAGAATGCTTCTGTCTAGTTTTCAGGAGAAGATATTTCCTTTTTCACCATAGGCCTGAAAGCGCTCCAAATGTCCACATCCAGATTCTATAAAAAGAGTGTTTCAAACCTGCTCTCTGAAAGGGAATGTTCAACTCTGTGACTTGAATGCAAACATCACAAAGAAGTTTCTGGGAATGCTGCTGTCTGCTTTTTATATGTAATCCCGTTTCCAACGAAATCCTCAAAGCTAGACAAGTATCCAGTTGCAGATTCCACAAAAAGAGTGTTTCAAAACTGCTCTCTCAAAAGAAAGGTTCAACTCTGTTAGCTGAGTAGATACATCATGAAAAAGTTTCTGACATTGCTTCTATGTAGCTTTTATTGGAAGATATTTCCTTTTTCACCGTAGTCCTGAGAGCGCTCCAAATGTCCACTTCCAGATACTACAAAAAGAGTGTTTCAAACCTGCTCTATGAAAGGGACTGTTCAACACTGTGACTTCAATTGAAACATCCCAATGAAGCTTCTGAGAATGCTTCTGTCTAGAGTTTATTTGAAGACAATCCCGTTTCCAATGAAATCCTCAAAGCTATGCAAATATCCTCTTGCAGATTTTACAAAAAGAGTGTTTCAAATCTGCTCTATCAAAAGAAAGCTTCAACACTGTTAGTTGAGGGCGCACATCACAAATAAGATTGCTGAGAATGCTGCTGTCTGCTTTTTATATGTAATCCCGTTTCCAACGAAATCCTCAAAACTAGACAAATATCCACTTGCAGATTCCACAAAAAGAGTGTTTCAAAACTGCTCTATCAAAAGAAAGCTTCAACACTGTTAGTTGAGGGCGCACATCACAAATAAGATTCTGAGAATGCTTCTGTCTAGTTTTCAGGGGAAGATATTTCCTTTTTCACCGTAGGCCTGAAAGGGCTCCAAATGTCCACATCCAGATACTACAAAAAGAGTGTTTCAAACCTGCTCTATGAAAGGGACTGTTCAACACTGTGACTTCAATTGAAACATCCCAATGAAGCTTCTGAGAATGCTTCTGTCTAGAGTTTATATGAAGACAATCCCGTTTCCAACGAAATCCTCAAAGCTATCCAAATATCCTCTTGCAGATATTACAAAAAGAGTGTTTCAAAACTGCTCTATCAAAAGAAAGCTTCAACACTGTTAGTTGAGGGCGCACATCACAAATAAGTTTCTGAGAATGCTTCTGTCTAGTTTTCAGGGGAAGATATTTCCTTTTTCACCTTATGCCTGAAAGCGCTGCAAATGTCCACATCCAGATACTACAAAAAGAGTGTTTCAAACCTGCTCTATGAAAGGGAATGTTCAACTCTGTGACTTGAATGCAAACATCACAAAGAAGTTTCTGGGAATGCTGCTGTCTGCTTTTTATATGTAATCCCGTTTCCAACGAAATCCTCAAAGCTAGACAAATATCCACTTGCAGATTCCACAAAACGAGTGTTTCAAAACTGCTCTCTCAAATGAAGGTTCAACTCTGTTAGCTGAGTAGATACATCATGAAAAAGTTTCTGACATTGCTTCTATCTAGCTTTATTTGGAAGATATTTCCTTTTTCACCGTAGTCCTGAGAACGCTCCAAATGTCCACTTCCAGATACTACAAAAAGAGTGTTTCAAACATGCTCTATGAAAGGGACTGTTCAACACTGTGACTTCAATTGAAACATCCCAATGAAGCTTCTGAGAATGCTTCTGTCTAGAGTTTATATGAAGACAATCCCGTTTCCAACGAAATCCTCAAAGCTATCCAAATATCCTCTTGCAGATATTACAAAAAGAGTGTTTCAAAACTGCTCTATCAAAAGAAAGGTTCAACACTGTTAGTTGAGGGCGCACATCACAAATAAGTTTACTGAGAATGCTGCTGTCTGCTTTTTATATGTAATCCCGTTTCCAACGAAATCCTCAAAGCTAGACAAATATCCACTTGCAGATTCCACAAAAAGAGTGTTTCAAAACTGCTCTATCAAAAGAAAGCTTCAACACTGTTAGTTGAGGGCGCACATCACAAATAAGTTTCTGAGAATGCTTCTGTCTATTTTTCAGGGGAAGATATTTCCTTTTAAACCATAGGCCTGAAAGCGCTCCAAATGTCCACATCCAGATACTACAAAAAGAGTGTTTCAAACCTGCTCTATGAAAGGGACTGTTCAACACTGTGACTTCAATTGAAACATCCCAATGAAGCTTCTGAGAATGCTTCTGTCTAGAGTTTATATGAAGACAATCCCGTTTCCAACGAAATCCTCAAAGCTATCCAAATATCCTCTTGCAGATTTTACAAAAAGAGTGTTTCAAAACTGCTCTATCAAAAGAAAGCTTCAACACTGTTAGTTGAGGGCGCACATCACAAATAAGATTCTGAGAATGCTTCTGTCTAGTTTTCAGGGGAAGATATTTCCTTTTTCACCATAGGCCTGAAAGCGCTCCAAATGTCCACATCCAGATACTACAAAAAGAGTGTTTCAAACCTGCTCTATGAAAGGCAATGTTCAACTCTGTGACTTGAATGAAAACATCACAAAGAAGTTACTGGGAATGCTGCTGTCTGCTTTTTATATGTAATCCCGTTTCCAACGAAATCCTCAAAGCTAGACAAATATCCACTTGCAGATTCCACAAAAAGAGTGTTTCAAAACTGCTGTCTCAAAAGAAAGGTTCAACTCTGTTAGCTGAGCAGATACATCATGAAAAAGTTTCTGACATTGCTTCTATGTAGCTTTTATTGGAAGATATTTCCTTTTTCACCGTAGTCCTGAGAGCGCTCCAAATGCCCACTTCCAGATACTACAAAAAGAGTGTTTCAAACCTGCTCTATGAAAGGGACTGTTCAACGCTGTGACTTCAATTGAAACATCCCAATGAAGCTTCTGAGAATGCTGCTGTCTGCTTTGTATAATTAATCCCGTTTCCAACGAAATCCTCAAAGCTATCCAAATATCCTCTTGCAGATATTACAAAAAGAGTGTTTCAAAACTGCTCTATCAAAAGAAAGCTTCAACACTGTTAGTTGAGGGCGCACATCACAAATAAGTTTCTGAGAATGCTGCTGTCTGCTTTTTATATGTAATCCCGTTTCCAACGAAATCCTCAAAGCTAGACAAATATCCACTTGCAGATTCCACAAAAAGAGTGTTTCAAAACTGCTCTATCAAAAGAAAGCTTCAACACTGTTAGTTGAGGGGGCACATCACAAATAAGTTTCTGAGAATGCTTCTGTCTAGTTTTCAGGGGAAGATATTTCCTTTTAAACTATAGGCCTGCAAAAGCTCCAAATGTCCACATCCAGATACTACAAAAAGAGTGTTTCAAACCTGCTCTATGAAAGGGACTGTTCAACACTGTGACTTCAATTGAAACATCCCAATGAAGCTTCTGAGAATTCTTCTGTCTAGAGTTTATATGAAGACAATCCCGTTTCCAACGAAATCCTCAAAGCTATCCAAATATCCTCTTGCAGATTTTACAAAAAGAGTGTTTCAAAACTGCTCTCTCAAAAGAAAGGTTCAACTCTGTTAGCTGAGTAGATACATCATGAAAAAGTTTCTGACATTGCTTCTATCTAGCTTTTATTGGAAGATATTTCCTTTATCACCGTATTCCTGAGATCTCTCCAAATGTCCACTTCCAGATACTACAAAAAGAGTGTTTCATACCTGCTCTATGAAAGGAACTGTTCAACACTGTGACTTCAATTGAAACATCCCAATGAAGCTTCTGAGAATGCTGCTGTCTGCTTTGTATAATTAATCCCGTTTCCAACGAAATCCTCAAAGCTATCCAAATATCCTCTTGCAGATATTACAAAAAGAGTGTTTCAAAACTGCTCTATCAAAAGAAAGCTTCAACACTGTTAGTTGAGGGCGCACATCACAAATAAGTTTCTGAGAATGCTGCTGTCTGCTTTTTATATGTAATCCCGTTTCCAACGAAATCCTCAAAGCTAGACAAATATCCACTTGCAGATTCCACAAAAAGAGTGTTTCAAAACTGCTCTATCAAAAGAAAGCTTCAACACTGTTAGTTGAGGGCGCACATCACAAATAAGTTTCTGAGAATGCTTCTGTCTAGATTTCAGGAGAAGATATTTCCTTTTTCACCATAGGCCTGAAAGCGCTCATAAATGTCCACATCCAGATACTACAAAAAGAGTGTTTCAAACCTGCTCTATGAAAGGGACTGTTCAACACTGTGACTTCAATTGAAACATCCCAATGAAGCTTCTGAGAATGCTTCTGTCTAGAGTTTATATGAAGACAATCCCGTTTCCAACGAAATCCTCAAAGCTATCCAAATATCCTCTTGCAGATTTTACAAAAAGAGTGTTTCAAAACTGCTCTATGAAAAGAAAGCTTCAACACTGTTAGTTGAGGGCGCACATCACAAATAAGTTTCTGAGAATTCTTCTGTCTAGTTTTCAGGAGAAGATATTTCCTTTTTCACCATAGGCCTGAAAGCGCTCCAAATGTCCACATCCAGATTCTATAAAAAGAGTGTTTCAAACCTGCTCTCTGAAAGGGAATGTTCAACTCTGTTACTTGAATGCAAACATCACAAACAAGATTCTGGGAATGCTGCTGTCTGCTTTTTATATGTAATCCCGTTTCCAACGAAATCCTCAAAGCTAGACAAATATCCACTTGCAGATTCCACCAAAAGAGTGTTTCAAAACTGCTCTCTCAAAAGAAAGGTTCAACTCTGTTAGCTGAGTAGATACATCATGAAAATGTTTCTGACATTGCTTCTATCTAGCTTTTATTGGAAGATATTTCCTTTTTCTCCGTAGTCCTGAGAGCGCTCAAAATGTCCACTTCCAGATACTACAAAAAGAGTGTTTCAAACCTGCTCTATGAAAGGGACTGTTCAACACTGTGACTTCAATTGAAACATCCCAAATGAAGCTTCTGAGAATGCTTCTGTCTAGATTCTATATGAAGACAATCCCGTTTCCAACGAAATCCTCAAAGCTATCCAAATATCCTCTTGCAGATTTTACAAAAAGAGTGTTTCAAAACTGCTCTATCAAAAGAAAAGTTCCACACTGTTAGTTGAGGGCGCACATCACAAATAAGTTTGCTGAGAATGCTGCTGTCTGCTTTTTATATGTAATCCCGTTTCCAACGAAATCCTCAAAGCTAGACAAATATCCACTTGCAGATTCCACAAAAAGAGTGTTTCAAAACTGCTCTATCAAAAGAAAGCTTCAACACTGTTAGTTGAGGGCGCACATCACAAATAAGTTTCTGAGAATGCTTCTGTCTAGTTTTCAGGGGAAGATATTTCCTTTTTCACCATAGGCCTGAAAGCGCTCCAAATGTCCACATCCAGATACTACAAAAAGAGTGTTTCAAACCTGCTCTATGAAAGGGACTGTTCAACACTGTGACTTCAATTGAAACATCCCAATGAAGCTTCTGAGAATGCTTCTGTCTAGAGTTTATATGAAGACAATCCCGTTTACAATGAAATCCTCAAAGATATCCAAATATCATCTTGCAGATTTTACAAAAAGAGTGTTTCAAAACTGCTCTATCAAAAGAAAGCTTCAACGCTGTTAGTTGAGGGCGCACATCACAAATAAGTTTCTGAGAATGCTTCTGTCTAGTTTTCAGGAGAAGATATTTCCTTTTTCACCATAGGCCTGAAAGCGCTCCAATTGTCCACATCCAGATACTATAAAAAGAGTGTTTCAAACCTGCTCTATGAAAGGGAATGTTCAACTCTGTGACTTGAATGCAAACATCACAAAGAAGATTCTGGGAATGCTGCTGTCTGCTTTTTATATGTAATCCCGTTTCCAACGAAATCCTCAAAGCTAGACAAATATCCACTTGCAGATTCCACAAAAAGAGTGTTTCAAAACTGCTCTCTCAAAAGAAAGGTTCAACTCTGTTAGCTGAGTAGATACATCATGAAAAAGTTTCTGACATTGCTTCTATCTAGCTTTTATTGGAAGATATTTCCTTTATCACCGTATTCCTGAGATCTCTCCAAATGTCCACTTCCAGATACTACAAAAAGAGTGTTTCAAACCTGCTCTATGAAAGGGACTGTTCAACACTGTGACTTCAATTGAAACATCCCAATGAAGCTTCTGAGAATGCTTCTGTCTAGAGTTTATATGAAGACAATCCCGTTTCCAACGAAATCCTCAAAGCTATCCAAATATCCTCTTGCAGATATTACAAAAAGAGTGTTTCAAAACTGCTCTATCAAAAGAAAGGTTCAACACTGTTAGTTGAGGGCGCACATCACAAATAAGTTTACTGAGAATGCTGCTGTCTGCTTTTTATATGTAATCCCGTTTCCAACGAAATCCTCAAAGCTAGACAAATATCCACTTGCAGATTCCACAAAAAGAGTGTTTCAAAACTGCTCTATCAAAAGAAAGCTTCAACACTGTTAGTTGAGGGCGCACATCACAAAAAAGTTTCTGAGAATGCTTCTGTCTAGTTTTCAGGGGAAGATATTTCCTTTTTCACCATAGGCCTGAAAGCGCTCCAAATGTCCACATCCAGATACTACAAAAAGAGTGTTTCAAACCTGCTCTATGAAAGGGACTGTTCAACACTGTGACTTCAATTGAAACATCCCAATGAAGCTTCTGAGAATGCTTCAGTCTAGAGTTTATATGAAGACAATCCCGTTTCCAACGAAATCCTCAAAGATATCCAAATATCCTATTGCAGATTTTACAAAAAGAGTGTTTCAAAACTACTCTATCAAAAGAAAGCTTTAACACTGTTAGTTGAGGGGGCACATCACAAATAAGTTTCTGAGAATGCTTCTGTCTAGTTTTCAGGGGAAGATATTTCCGTTTTCACCATAGGGCTGAAAGCGCTCCAAATGTCCACATCCAGATACTACAAAAAGAGTGTTTCAAACCTGCTCTCTGAAAGGGAATGTTCAACTCTGTGACTTGAATGCAAACATCACAAAGAAGTTTCTGGGAATGCTGCTGTCTGCTTTTTATATGTAATCCCGTTTCCAACGAAATCCTCAAAGCTAGACAAATATCCACTTGCAGATTCCACAAAAAGAGTGTTTCAAAACTGCTCTCTCAAAAGAAAGGTTCAACTCTGTTAGCTGAGTAGATACATCATGAAAAAGTTTCTGACATTGCTTCTATCTAGCTTTTATTGGAAGATATTTCCTTTATCACCGTATTCCGGAGATCTCTCCAAATGTCCACTTCCAGATACTACAAAAAGAGTGTTTCAAACCTGCTCTATGAAAGGGACTGTTCAACACTGTGACTTCAATTGAAACATCCCAATGAAGCTTCTGAGAATGCTTCTGTCTAGTTTTCAGGAGAAGATATTTCCTTTTTCATCATAGGCCTGAAAGCGCTCCAAATGTCCACATCCAGATACTATAAAAAGAGTGTTTCAAACCTGCTCTATGAAAGGGAATGTTCAACTCTGTGACTTGAATGCAAACATGACAAAGTAGATTCTGGGAATGCTGCTGTCTGCTTTTTATATGTAATCCCGTTTCCAACGAAATCCTCAAAGCTAGACAAATATCCACTTGCAGATTCCACAAAAAGAGTGTTTCAAAACTGCTCTATCAAAAGAAAGCTTCAACACTGTTAGTTGAGGGCGCACATCACAAATAAGTTTCTGAGAATGCTTCTACCTAGCTTTTATTGGAAGATATTTCCTTTTTCACCGTAGTCCTCAGAACGCTCAAAATGTCCACTTCCAGATACTACAAAAAGAGTGTTTCAAACCTGCTCTATGAAAGGGACTATTCAACACTGTGACTTCAATTGAAACATCCCAATGAAGCTTCTGAGAATGCTTCTGTCTAGATTTTATATGAAGACAATCCCGTTTCCAACGAAATCCTCAAAGCTATCCAAATATCCTCTTGCAGATTTTACAAAAAGAGTGTTTCAAAACTACTCTATCAAAAGAAGGGTTTAACACTGTTAGTTGAGGGCGCACATCACAAATAAGTTTCTGAGAATGCTTCTGTCTAGTTTTCAGGGGAACATATTTCCTTTTTCACCATAGGCCTGAAAGCGATCCAAATGTCCACATCCAGATACTACAAAAAGAGTGTTTCAAACCTGCTCTATGAAAGGGAATGTTCAACTCTGTGACTTGAATGCAAACATCACAAAGAAGTTTCTGGGAATGCTGCTGTCTGCTTTTTATATGTAATCCCGTTTCCAACGAAATCCTCAAAGCTAGACAAATATCCACTTGCAGATTCCACAAAAAGAGTGTTTCAAAACTGCTCTCTCAAAGGAAGGTTCAACTCTGTTAGCTGAGTAGATACATCATGAAAAAGTTTCTGACATTGCTTCTATCTAGCTTTATTTGGAAGATATTTCCTTTTTCACCGTAGTCCTGAGAGCGCTCCAAATGTCCACTTCCAGATACTACAAGAAGATTGTTTCAAACATGCTCTATGAAAGGGACTGTTCAACACTGTGACTTCAATTGAAACATCCCAATGAAGCTTCTGAGAATGCTTCTGTCTAGATTTTATATGAAGACAATCCCGTTTCCAACGAAATCCTCAAAGCTATCCAAATATCCTCTTGCAGATTTCACAAAAAGAGTGTTTCAAAACTGCTCTGTCAAAAGAAAGGTTCAACACTGTTAGTTGAGGGCGCACATCACAAATAAGTTTCTGAGAATGCTGCTGTCTGCTTTTTATATGTAATCCCGTTTCCAACGAAATCCTCAAAGCTAGACAAATATCCACTTGCAGATTCCACAAAAAGAGTGTTTCAAAACTGCTCTATCAAAAGAAAGCTTCAACACTGTTAGTTGAGGGCGCACATCACAAATAAGTTTCTGAGAAAGCTTCTGTCTAGTTTTCAGGGGAAGATATTT
This sequence comes from Homo sapiens, assembly GCF_000001405.40. Classification (NCBI taxonomy): domain Eukaryota; kingdom Metazoa; phylum Chordata; class Mammalia; order Primates; family Hominidae; genus Homo; species Homo sapiens. The sequence continues at coordinate 93,001,035 of NC_000002.12, read as the reverse complement.
CCTTTTAAACCATAGGCCTGAAAGCGCTCCAAATGTCCACATCCAGATACTACAAAAAGAGTGTTTGAAACCTGCTCTATGAAAGGGACTGTTCAACACTGTGACTTCAATTGAAACATCCCAATGAAGCTTCTGAGAATGCTACTGTCTAGAGTTTATATGAAGACAATCCCATTTCCACCGAAATCCTCAAACAATCCAAATATCCTCTTGCAGATTTTACAAAAAGAGTGTTTCAAACTGCTCTGTCAAAAGAAAGCTTCAACACTGTTAGTTGAGGGTGCACATCACAAATAAGTTTCTGAGAATGCTTCTGTCTAGTTTTCAGGGGAAGATATTTCCTTTTTCACCATAGGCCTGAAAGCGCTCCAAATGTCCACATCCAGATACTACAAAAAGAGTGTTTCAAACCTGCTCTATGAAAGGAAATGTTCAACTCTGTGACTTGAATGCAAACATCACAAAGAAGTTTCTGGGAATGCTGCTGTCTGCTTTTTATATGTAATCCCGTTTCCAACGAAATCCTCAAAGCTAGACAAATATCCACTTGCAGATTCCACAAAAAGAGTGTTTCAAAACTGCTCTCTCAAAAGAAAGGTTCAACTCTGTTACCTGAGTAGATACATCATGAAAAAGTTTCTGACACTGCTTCTATCTAGCTTTTATTGGAAGATATTTCCTTTTTCACCGTAGTCCTGAGAGCGCTCCAAATGTCCACTTCCAGATACTACAAAGAGTGTTTCAAACCTGCTCTATGAAAGGGACTGTTCAACACTGTGACTTCAGTTGAAACATCCCAATGAAGCTTCTGAGAATGCTACTGTCTAGAGTTTATATGAAGACAATCCCGTTTCCAACGAAATCCTCAAAGCTATCCAAATATCCTCTTACAGATTTTACAAAAAGAGTGTTTCAAAACTACTCTATCAAAAGAAAGGTTTAACACTGTTAGTTGAGGGCACACATCACAAATAAGTTTCTCAGAATGCTGCTGTCTGCTTTTTATATGTAATCCCGTTTCCAACGAAATCCTCAAAGCTAGACAAATATCCTCTTGCAGATTCCACAAAAAGAGTGTTTCAAAACTGCTCTATCAAAAGAAAGCTTCAACACTGTTAGTTGAGGGCGCACATCTCAAATAATTTTCTGAGAATGCTTCTGTCTAGTTTTCAGGGGAAGATATTTCCTTTTTCACCATAGGCCTGAAAGCGCTGCAAATGTCCACATCCAGATACTACAAAAAGAGTGTTTCAAACCTGCTCTATGAAAGGGACTGTTCAACACTGTGACTTCAATTGAAACATCCCAATGAAGCTTCTGAGAATGCTTCTGTCTAGAGTTTATATGAAGACAATCCCGTTTCCAACGAAATCCTCAAAGCTATCCAAATATCCTCTTGCAGATTTTACAAAAAGAGTGGTTCAAAACTGCTCTATCAAAAGAAAGCTTCAACACTGTTAGTTGAGGGCGCACATCACAAATAAGATTCTGAGAATGCTTCTGTCTAGTTTTCAGGAGAAGATATTTCCTTTTTCACCATAGGCCTGAAAGCGCTCAAAATGTCCACATCCAGATACTATAAAAAGAGTGTTTCAAACCTGCTCTCTGAAAGGGAATGTTCAACTCTGTGACTTGAATGCAAACATCACAAACAAGATTCTGGGAATGCTGCTGTCTGGTTTTTATATGTAATCCCGTTTCCAACGAAATCCTCAAAGCTAGACAAATATCCACTTGCAGATTCCACAAAAAGAGTGTTTCAAAACTGCTCTCTCAAAAGAAAGGTTCAACTCTGTTAGCTGAGTAGATACATCATGAAAATGTTTCTGACATTGCTTCTATGTAGCTTTTATTGGAAGATATTTAATTTTTCACCATAGTCCTGAGAGCCCTCCAAATGTCCACTTCCAGATACTACAAAAAGTGTGTTTCAAACCTGTTCTATGAAAGGAACTGTTCAACACTGTGACTTCAATTGAAACATCCCAATGAAGCTTACTGAGAATGCTGCTGTCTGCTTTGTATAATTAATCCCGTTTCCAACGAAATCCTCAAAGCTATCCAAATATCCTCTTGCAGATATTACAAAAAGAGTGTTTCAAAACTGCTCTATCAAAAGAAAGCTTCAACACTGTTAGTTGAGGGCGCACATCACAAATAAGTTTCTGAGAATGCTGCTGTCTGCTTTTTATAATTAATCCCGTTTCCAACGAAATCCTCAAAGCTATCCAAATATCCTCTTGCAGATATTACAAAAAGAGTGTTTCAAAACTGCTCTATCAAAAGAAAGCTTCAACACTGTTAGTTGAGGGCGCACATCACAAATAAGTGTCTGAGAATGCTTCTGTCTAGTTTTCAGGGGAAGATATTTCCTTTTAAACCATAGGCCTGAAAGCACTCCAAATGTCCACATCCAGATACTACAAAAAGAGTGTTTGAAACCTGCTCTATGAAAGGGACTGTTCAACACTGTAACTTCAATTGAAACATCCCAATGAAGCTTCTGAGAATGCTTCTGTCTAGATTGTATATGAAGACAATCCCGTTTCCAACGAAATCCTCAAAGCTATCCAAATATCCTCTTGCAGATTTTACAAAAAGAGTGTTTCAAAACTGCTCTATCAAAAGAAAGCTTCAACACTGTTAGTTGAGGGCGCACATCACAAATAAGTTTCTGAGAATGCTTCTGTCTAGTTTTCAGGGGAAGATATTTCCTTTTTCACCATAGGCCTGAAAGCGCTCCAAATGTCCACATCCAGATACTACAAAAAGAGTGTTTCAAACCTGCTCTATGAAAGGGAATGTTCAAGTCTGTGACTTGAATGCAAATATCACAAAGAAGTTTCTGGGAATGCTGCTGTCTGCTTTTTATATGTAATCCCGTTTCCAACGAAATCCTCAAAGCTAGACAAATATCCACTTGCAGATTCCACAAAAAGAGTGTTTCAAAACTGCTCTGTCAAAAGAAAGGTTCAACTCTGTTAGCTGAATAGATACATCATGAGAAATTTTCTGACATTGCTTCTATCTAGCTTTTATTGGAAGATATTTCCTTTTTCACCGTGTTCCTGAGAACTCTTCAAATATCCACTTCCAGATACTACAAAAAGAGTGTTTCAAACCTGCTCTATGAAAGGGACTGTTCAACACTGTGACTTCAATTGAAACATCCCAATGAAGCTTCTGAGAATGCTTCTGTCTAGAGTTTATATGAAGACAATCCCGTTTCCAACGAAATCCTCAAAGCTATCCAAATATCCTCTTGCAGATATTACAAAAAGAGTGTTTCAAAACTGCTCTATCAAAAGAAAGGTTCAACACTGTTAGTTGAGGGCGCACATCACAAATAAGTTTACTGAGAATGCTGCTGTCTGCTTTTTATATGTAATCCCGTTTCCAAAGAAATCCTCAAAGCTAGACAAATATCCACTTGCAGATTCCACAAAAAGAGTGTTTCAAAACTGCTCTATCAAAAGAAAGCTTCAACACTGTTAGTTGAGGGCGCACATCACAAATAAGTTTCTGAGAATGCTTCTGTCTAGTTTTCAGGGGAAGATATTTCCTTTTTCACCATAGGCCTGAAAGCGCTCCAAATGTCCACATCCAGATACTACAAAAAGAGTGTTTCAAACCTGCTCTATGAAAGGGACTGTTCAACACTGTGACTTCAATTGAAACATCCCAATGAAGCTTCTGAGAATGCTTCTGTCTAGAGTTTATATGAAGACAATCCCGTTTCCAAAGAAATCCTCAAAGCTATCCAAATATCCTCTTGCAGATTTTACAAAAAGAGAGTTTGAAAACTGCTCTATCAAAAGAAAGCTTCAACACTGTTAGTTGAGGGCGCACATCACAAATAAGATTCTGAGAATGCTTCTGTCTAGTTTTCAGGGGAAGATATTTCCTTTTTCACCATAGGCCTGAAAGCGCTCCAAATGTCCACATCCAGATACTACAAAAAGAGTGTTTCAAACCTCCTCTATGAAAGGGAATGTTCAACTCTGTGACTTGAATGCAAACATCACAAAGTAGTTTCTGGGAATGCTGCTGTCTGCTTTTTATATGTAATCCCGTTTCCAACGAAATCCTCAAAGCTAGACAAATATCCACTTGCAGATTCCACAAAAAGAGTGTTTCAAAACTGCTCTCTCAAAAGAAAGGTTCAACTCTGTTAGCTGAGTAGATACATCATGAAAAATTTTCTGACATTGCTTCTATCTAGCTTTTATTGGAAGATATTTCCTTTATCACCGTATTCCTGAGATCTCTCCAAATGTCCACTTCCAGATACTACAAAAAGAGTATTTCAAACCTGCTCTATGAAAGGGACTGTTCAACACTGTGACTTCAATTGAAACATCCCAATGAAGCTTCTGAGAATGCTTCTGCCTAGAGTTTATATGAAGACAATCCCGTTTCCAACGAAATCCTCAAAGCTATCCAAATATCCTCTTGCAGATATTACAAAAAGAGTGTTTCAAAACTGCTCTATCAAAAGAAAGCTTCAACACTGTTAGTTGAGGGCGCACATCACAAATAAGTTTCTGAGAATGCTTCTATGTAGCTTTTATTGGAAGATATTTCCTTTTTCACCATAGGCCTGAAAGCGCTCCAAATGTCCACATCCAGATACTACAAAAAAAGTGTTTCAAACCTGCTCTATGAAAGGGAATGTTCAACTCTGTGACTTGAATGCAAACATCACAAAGAAGTTACTGGGAATGCTGCTGTCTGCTTTTTGTATGTAATCACGTTTCCAACGAAATCCTCAAAGCTAGACAAATATCCAGTTGCAGATTCCACAAAAAGAGTGTTTCAAAACTGCTCTCTCAAAAGAAAGGTTCAACTCTGTTAGCTGAGTAGATACATCATGAAAAAGTTTCTGACATTGCTTCTATCTAGCTTGTATTGGAAGATATTTCCTTTTTCACCGTAGTCCTGAGAGCGCTCCTAAATGTCCACTTCCAGATACTACAAAAAGAGTGTTTCAAACCTGCTCTATGAAAGGGACTGTTCAACACTGTGACTTCAATTGAAACATCCCAATGAAGCTTCTGAGAATGCTTCTGTCTAGAGTTTATATGAAGACAATCCCGTTTCCAACGAAATCCTCAAAGCTATCCAAATATCCTCTTGCAGATTTTACAAAAAGAGTGTTTCAAAACTGCTCTATCAAAAGAAAGCTTCAACACTGTTAGTTGAGGGCGCACATCAAAAATAAGATTCTGAGAATGCTTCTGTCTAGTTTTCAGGGGAAGATATTTCCTTTTTCACCATAGGCCTGAAAGCGCTCCAAATGTCCACATCCAGATACTACAAAAAGAGTGTTTCAAACCTGCTCTATGAAAGGGAATGTTCAACTCTGTGACTTGAATGCAAACACCACAAAGAAGTTACTGGGAATGCTGCTGTCTGCTTTTTATATGTAATCCCGTTTCCAACGAAATCCTCAAAGCTAGACAAATATCCACTTGCAGATTGCACAAAAAGAGTGTTTCAAAACTGCTCTCTCAAAAGAAAGGTTCAACTCTGTTAGCTGAGTAGATACATCATGAAAAAGTTTCTGACATTGCTTCTATCTAGCTTTTATTGGAAGATATTTCCTTTTTCACCGTAGTCCTGAGAGCGCTCCAAATGTCCACTTCCAGATACTACAAAAAGAGTGTTTCAAACCTGCTCTATGAAAGGGAATGTTCAACACTGTGACTTCAGTTGAAACATCCCAATGAAGCTTCTGAGAATGCTACTGTCTAGAGTTTATATGAAGACAATCCTGTTTCCAACGAAATCCTCAAAGCTATCCAAATATCCTCTTGCAGATTTTACAAAAAGAGTGTTTCAAAACTACTCTATCAAAAGAAAGGTTTAACACTGTTAGTTGAGGGCGCACATCACAAATAAGTTTGCTGAGAATGCTAGCTGTCTGCTTTTTATATAATCCCGTTTCCAACGAAATCCTCAAAGCTAGACAAATATCCACTTGCAGATTCCACAAAAAGAGTGTTTCAAAACTGCTCTATCAAAAGAAAGCTTCAACACTGTTAGTTGAGGGCGCACATCACAAATAAGTTTCTGAGAATGCTTCTGTCTAGTTTTCAGGGGAAGATATTTCCTTTTAAACCATAGGCCTGAAAGCGCTCCAAATGTCCACATCCAGATACTACAAAAAGAGTGTTTCAAACCTGCTCTATGAAAGGGACTGTTCAACACTGTGACTTCAATTGAAACATCCTAATGACGCTTCTGAGAATGCTTCTGTCTAGAGTTTATATGAAGACAATCCCGTTTCCAACGAAATCCTCAAAGCTATCCAAATATCCTCTTGCAGATTTTACAAAAAGAGTGTTTCAAAACTGCTCTATCAAAAGAAAGCTTCATCACTGTTAGTTGAGGGCGCACATCACAAATAAGATTCTGAGAATGCTTCTGTCTAGTTTTCAGGGGAAGATATTTCCTTTTTCACCATAGGCCTGAAAGCGCTCCAAATGTCCACATCCAGATACTACAAAAAGAGTGTTTCAAACCTGCTCTATGAAAGGGAATGTTCAACTCTGTGACTTGAATGCAAACATCACAAAGAAGTTACTGGGAATGCTGCTGTCTGCTTTTTATATGTAATCCCGTTTCCAACGAAATCCTCAAAGCTAAGCAAATATCCACTTGCAGATTCCACAAAAAGAGTGTTTCAAAACTGCTCTCTCAAAGGAAAGGTTCAACTCTGTTAGCTGAGTAGATACATCATGAAAAAGTTTCTGACATTGCTTCTATGTAGCTTTTATTGGAAGATATTTCCTTTTTCACCATAGTCCTGAGAGCGCTCAAAATGTCCACTTCCAGATAATACAAAAAGAGTGTTTCAAACCTGTTCTATGAAAGGAACTGTTCAACACTGTGACTTCAATTGAAACATCCCAATGAAGCTTCTGAGAATGCTTCTGTCTAGAGTTTAAATGAAGACAATCCCGTTTCCAACGAAATCCTCAAAGCTATCCAAATATCCTCTTGCAGATTTTACAAAAAGAGTGTTTCAAAACTGCTCTATCAAAAGAAAGCTTCAACACTGTTAGTTGAGGGCGCACATCACAAATAAGATTCTGAGAATGCTGCTGTCTGCTTTTTATAATTAATCCCGTTTCCAACGAAATCCTCAAAGCTATCCAAATATCCTCTTGCAGATATTACAAAAAGAGTGTTTCAAAACTGTTCTATCAAAAGAAAGGTTCAACACTGTTAGTTGAGGGCGCACATCACAAATAAGTTTCTGAGAATGCTTCTGTCTAGTTTTCAGGGGAAGATATTTCCTTTTTCACCATAGGCCTGAAAGCGCTCCAAATGTCCACATCCAGATACTACAAAAAGAGTGTTTCAAACCTGCTCTATGAAAGGGACTGTTCAACACTGTGACTTCAATTGAAACATCCCAATGAAGCTTCTGAGAATGCTACTGTCTAGGGTTAATATGAAGACAATCCCGTTTCCAACGAAATCCTCAAAGCTATCCAAATATCCTCTTGCAGATTTTACAAAAAGAGTGTTTCAAAACTACTCTATCAACAGAAAGGTTCAACATTGTTAGTTGAGGGCGCACATCACAAATAAGTTTCTGAGAATGCTTCTGTCTAGTTTTCAGGAGAATATATTTCCTTTTTCACCATAGGCCTGAAAGCGCTCCAAATGTCCACATCCAGATACTATAAAAAGAGTGTTTCAAACCTGCTCTATGAAAGGGAATGTTCAACTCTGTGACTTGAATGCAAACATCACAAAGAAGATTCTGGGAATGCTGCTGTCTGCTTTTTATATGTAATCCCGTTTCCAACGAAATCCTCAAAGCTAGACAAATATCCACTTGCAGATTCCACAAAAAGAGTGTTTCAAAACTGCTCTCTCAAAAGAAAGGTTCAACTCTGTTAGCTGAGTAGATACATCATGAAAAAGTTTCTGACATTGCTTCTATGTAGCTTTTATTGGAAGATATTTGCTTTTTCGCCATAGTCCTGAGTGCGCTCAAAATGTCCACTTCCAGATACTACAAAAAGAGTGTTTCAAACCTGCTCTATGAAAGGGACTGTTCAACACTGTGACTTCAATTGAAACATCCCAATGAAGCTTCTGAGAATGCTTCTGTCTAGAGTTTATATGAAGACAATCCCGTTTCCAACGAAATCCTCAAAGCTATCCAAATATCCTCTTGCAGATTTTAGAAAAAGAGTGTTTCAAAACTGCTCTATCAAAAGAAAGCTTCAACACTGTTAGTTGAGGGCGCACATCACAAATAAGATTCTGAGAATGCTTCTGTCTAGTTTTCAGGGGAACATATTTCCTTTTTCACCATAGGCCTGAAAGCGCTCCAAATGTCCACATCCAGATACTACAAAAAGAGTGTTTCAAACCTGCTCTATGAAAGGGAATGTTCAACTCTGTGACTTGAATGCAAACATCACAAAGAAGTTACTGGGAATGCTGCTGTCTGCTTTGTATATGTAATCCCGTTTCCAACGAAATCCTCAAAGCTAGACAAATATCCACTTGCAGATTCCACAAAAAGAGTGTTTCAAAACTGCTCTCTCAAAAGAAAGGTTCAACTCTGTTAGCTGAGTAGATACATCATGAAAAAGTTTCTGACATTGCTTCTATGTAGCTTTTATTGGAAGATATTTCCTTTTTCACCGTAGTCCTGAGAACGCTCCAAATGTCCACTTCCAGATACTACAAAAAGAGTGTTTCAAACCTGCTCTATGAAAGGGACTGTTCAACACTGTGACTTCAATTGAAACATCCCAATGAAGCTTCTGAGAATGCTTCTTTCTAGAGTTTATATGAAGACAATCCCGTTTCCAACGAAATCCTCAAAGCTATCCAAATATTCTCTTGCAGATATTACAAAAAGAGTGTTTCAAAACTGCTCTATCAAAATAAAGCTTCAACACTGTTAGTTGAGGGCGCACATCACAAATAAGTTTCTGAGAATGCTGCTGTCTGCTTTTTATATGTAATCCCGTTTCCAACGAAATCCTCAAAGCTAGACAAATATCCACTTGCAGATTCCACAAAAAGAGTGTTTCAAAACTGCTCTATCAAAAGAAAGCTTCAACACTGTTAGTTGAGGGCGCACATCACAAATAAGTTTCTGAGAATGCTTCTGTCTAGTTTTCAGGGGAAGATATTTCCTTTTAAACCATAGGCCTGAAAGCGCTCCAAATGTCCACATCCAGATACTACAAAAAGAGTGTTTCAAACCTGCTCTATGAAAGGGACTGTTCAACACTGTGACTTCAATTGAAACATCCCAATGACGCTTCTGAGAATGCTTCTGTCTAGAGTTTATATGAAGACAATCCCGTTTCCAACGAAATCCTCAAAGCTATCCAAATATCCTCTTGCAGATATTACAAAAAGAGTGTTTCAAAACTGCTCTATCAAAAGAAAGCTTCAACACTGTTAGTTGAGGGCGCACATCACAAATAAGTTTCTGAGAATGCTTCTGTCTAGTTTTCAGGAGAAGATATTTCCTTTTTCACCATAGGCCTGAAAGCGCTCCAAATGTCCACATCCAGATACTATAAAAAGAGTGTTTCAAACCTGCTCTCTGAAAGGGAATGTTCAACTCTGTGACTTGAATGCAAAGATCACAAACAAGATTCTGGGAATGCTGCTGTCTGCTTTTTATATGTAATCCCGTTTCCAACGAAATCCTCAAAGCTAGACAAATATCCACTTGCAGATTCCACAAAAAGAGTGTTTCAAAACTGCTCTCTCAAAGGAAAGGTTCAACTCTGTTAGCTGAGTAGATACATCATGAAAAAGTTTCTGACATTGCTTCTATGTAGCTTTTATTGGAAGATATTTCCTTTTTCACCGTAGTCCTGAGAGCGCTCCAAATGTCCACTTCCAGATACTACAAAAAGAGTGTTTCAAACCTGCTCTATGAAAGGAACTGTTCAACAGTGTGACTTCAATTGAAACATCCCAATGAAGCTTCTGAGAATGCTTCTGTCTAGAGTTTATATGAAGACAATCCCGTTTCCAACGAAATCCTCAAAGCTATCCAAATATCCTCTTGCAGATATTACAAAAAGAGTGTTTCAAAACTGCTCTATCAAAAGAAAGGTTCAACACTGTTAGTTGAGGGCGCACATCACAAATAAGTTTACTGAGAATGCTGCAGTCTGCTTTTTATATGTAATCCCGTTTCCAACGAAATCCTCAAAGCTACACAAATATCCACTTGCAGATTCCACAAAAAGAGTGTTTCAAAACTGCTCTATCAAAAGAATGCTTCAACACTGTTAGTTGAGGGCGCACATCACAAATAAGTTTCTGAGAATGCTTCTGTCTAGTTTTCAGGGGAAGATATTTCCTTTTAAACCATAGGCCTGAAAGCGCTCCAAATGTCCACATCCAGATACTACAAAAAGAGTGTTTCAAACCTGCTCTATGAAAGGGACTGTTCAACACTGTGACTTCAATTGAAACATCCCAATGACGCTTCTGAGAATGCTTCTGTCTAGAGTTTATATGAAGACAATCCCGTTTCCAATGAAATCCTCAAAGCTATACAAATATCCTCTAGCAGATTTTACAAAAAGACTGTTTCAAAACTGCTCTATCAAAAGAAAGCTTCAACACTGTTAGTTGAGGGCGCACATCACAAATAAGATTCTGAGAATGCTTCTGTCTAGTTTTCAGGGGAAGATATTTCCTTTTTCACCATAGGCCTGAAAGCGCTGCAAATGTCCACATACAGATACTACAAAAAGAGTGTTTCAAACCTGCTCTATGAAAGGGAATGTTCAACTCTGTGACTTGAATGCAAACTTCACAAAGAAGTTTCTGGGAATGCTGCTGTCTGCTTTTTATATGTAATCCCGTTTCCAACGAAATCCTCAAACCTAGACAAATATCCACCTGCAGATCCAACAAAAAGAGTGTTTCAATACTGCTCTCTCAAAAAAAAGGTTCAACTCTGTTAGCTGAGTAGATACATCATGAAGAAGTTTCTGACATTGCTTCTATCTAGCTTTTATTGGAAGATATTTCCTTTTTCACCGTAGTCCTGAGAGCGCTCCAAATGTCCACTTCCAGATACTACAAAAAGAGTGTTTCAAACCTGCTCTATGAAAGGGACTGTTCAACACTGTGACTTCAAGTGAAACATCCCAATGAAGCTTCTGAGAATGCTTCTGTCTAGATTCTATATGAAGACAATCCCGTTTCCAACGAAATCCTCAAAGCTATCCAAATATCCTCTTGCAGATTTTACAAAAAGAGTGTTTCAAAACTGCTCTATCAAAAGAAAAGTTCCACACTGTTAGTTGAGGGCGCACATCACAAATAAGTTTGCTGAGAATGCTGCTGTCTGCTTTTTATATGTAATCCCGTTTCCAACGAAATCCTCAAACCTAGACAAATATCCACTTGCAGATTCCACAAAAAGAGTGTTTCAAAACTGCTCTATCAAAAGAAAGCTTCAACACTGTTAGTTGAGGGCGCACATCACAAATAAGTTTCTGAGAATGCTTCTGTCTAGTTTTCAGGGGAAGATATTTCCTTTTTCACCATAGGCCTGAAAGCGCTCCAAATGTCCACATCCAGATACTACAAAAAGAGTGTTTCAAACCTGCTCTATGAAAGGGACTGTTCAACACTGTGACTTCAATTGAAACATCCCAATGAAGCTTCTGAGAATGCTTCAGTCTAGAGTTTATATGAAGACAATCCCGTTTCCAACGAAATCCTCAAAGATATCCAAATATCCTATTGCAGATTTTACAAAAAGAGTGTTTCAAAACTACTCTATCAAAAGAAAGGTTTAACACTGTTAGTTGAGGGGGCACATCACAAATAAGTTTCTGAGAATGCTTCTGTCTAGTTTTCAGGGGAAGATATTTCCTTTTTCACCATAGGCCTGAAAGCGCTCCAAATGTCCACATCCAGATACTACAAAAAGAGTGTTTCAAACCTGCTCTATGAAAGGGAATGTTCAACTCTGTGACTTGAATGCAAATTTCACAAAGAACTTTCTGGGAATGCTGCTGTCTGCTTTTTATATGTAATCCCGTTTCCAACGAAATCCTCAAAGCTAGACAAATATCCACTTGCAGATTCCACAAAAAGAGTGTTTCAAAACTGCTCTCTCAAAAGAAAGGTTCAACTCTGTTAGCTGAGTAGATACATCATGAAAAAGTTTCTGACATTGCTTCTATCTTGCTTTTATTGGAAGATATTTCCTTTTTCACCGTAGTCCTGAGAGCGCTCCAAATGTCCACTTCCAGATACTACAAAAAGAGTGTTTCAAACCTGCTCTATGACAGGGAATGTTCAACACTGTGACTTCAATTGAAACATCCCTAAGAAATTTCTGAGAATGCTGCTGTCTGCTTTGTATAATTAATCCCGTTTCCAACGAAATCCTCAAAGCTATCCAAATATCCTCTTGCAGATATTACAAAAAGAGTGTTTCAAAACTGCTCTATCAAAAGAAAGCTTCAACACTGTTAGTTGAGGGCGCACATCACAAATAAGTTTCTGAGAATGCTGCTGTCTGCTTTTTATATGTAATCCCGTTTCCAACGAAATCCTCAAAGCTAGACAAATATCCACTTGCAGATTCCACAAAAAGAGTGTTTCAAAACTGCTCTATCAAAAGAATGCTTCAACACTGTTAGTTGAGGGCGCACATCACAAATAAGTTTCTGAGAATGCTTCTGTCTAGTTTTCAGGGGAAGATATTTCCTTTTAAACCATAGGCCTGAAAGCGCTCCAAATGTCCACATCCAGATACTACAAAAAGAGTGTTTGAAACCTGCTCTATGAAAGGGACTGTTCAACACTGTAACTTCAGTTGAAACATCCCAATGAAGCTTCTGAGAATGCTTCTGCCTAGAGTTTATATGAAGACAATCCCGTTTCCAACGAAATCCTCAAAGCTATCCAAATATCCTCTTGCAGATATTACAAAAAGAGTGTTTCAAAACTGCTCTATCAAAAGAAAGCTTCAACACTGTTAGTTGAGGGCGCACATCACAAATAAGTTTCTGAGAATGCTTCTGTCTAGTTTTCAGGAAAAGATATTTCCTTTTTCACCATAGGCCTGAAAGCGCTCCAAATGTCCACATCCAGATACTATAAAAAGAGTGTTTCAAACCTGCTCTCTGAAAGGGAATGTTCAACTCTGTGACTTGAATGCAAACATCACAAACAAGATTCTGGGAATGCTGCTGTCTGCTTTTTATATGTAATCCCGTTTCCAACGAAATCTTCAAAGCCAGACAAATATCCACTTGCAGATTCCACAAAAAGAGTGTTTGAAAACTGCTCTCTCAAAAGAAAGGTTCAACTCTTTTAGCTGAGTAGATACATCATGAAAAAGTTTATGATATTGCTTCTATCTAGCTTTTATTGGAAGTTATTTCCTTTTTCACCATAGTCCTGAGAACGCTCCAAATGTCCACTTCCAGATATTACAAAAAGAGTGTTTCAAACCTGCTCTACGAAAGGGAGTGTTCAACACTGTAACTTCAATTGAAACATCCCAATGAAGCTTCTGAGAATGCTTCTGTCTAGATTGTATATGAAGACAATCCCGTTTCCAACGAAATCCTCAAAGCTATCCAAATATCCTCTTGCAGATTTTACAAAAAGAGTGTTTCAAAACTGCTCTATCAAAAGAAAGCTTCAACACTGTTAGTTGAGGGCGCACATCACAAATAAGTTTCTGAGAATGCTTCTGTCTAGTTTTCAGGGGAAGATATTTCCTTTTTCACCATAGGCCGGAAAGCGCTCCAAATGTCCACATCCAGATACTACAAAAAGAGTGTTTCAAACCTGCTCTATGAAAGGGAATGTTCAAGTCTGTGACTTGAATGCAAATATCACAAAGAAGTTTCTGGGAATGCTGCTGTCTGCTTTTTATATGTAATCCCGTTTCCAACGAAGTCCTCAAAGCTAGACAAATATCCACTTGCAGATTCCACAAAAAGAGTGTTTCAAAACTGCTCTCTCAAAAGAAAGGTTCAACTCTGTTAGCTGAGTAGATACATCATGAAAAAGTTTCTGACATTGCTTCTACCTAGCTTTTATTGGAAGATATTTCCTTTATCACCGTATTCCTGAGATCTCTCCAAATGTCCACTTCCAGATACTACAAAAAGAGTGTTTCAAACCTGCTCTATGAAAGGGACTGTTCAACACTGTGACTTCAATTGAAACATCCCAATGAAGCTTCTGAGAATGCTTCTTTCTAGAGTTTATATGAAGACAATCCCGTTTCCAACGAAATCCTCAAAGCTATCCAAATATTCTCTTGCAGATATTACAAAAAGAGTGTTTCAAAACTGCTCTATCAAAATAAAGCTTCAACACTGTTAGTTGAGGGCGCACATCACAAATAAGTTTCTGAGAATGCTGCTGTCTGCTTTTTATAATTAATCCCGTTTCCAACGAAATCCTCAAAGCTATCCAAATATCCTCTTGCAGATATTACAAAAAGAGTGTTTCAAAACTGGTCTATCAAAAGAAAGGTTCAACACTGTTAGTTGAGGGCGCACATCACAAATAAGTTTCTGAGAATGCTTCTGTCTAGTTTTCAGGGGAAGATATTTCCTTTTTCACCTTATGCCTGAAAGCGCTGCAAATGTCCACATCCAGATACTACAAAAAGAGTGTTTCAAACCTGCTCTATCAAAGGGACTGTTCAACACTGTGACTTCAATTGAAACATCCCAATGAAGCTTCTGAGAATGCTTCTGTCTAGAGTTTATATGAAGACAATCCCGTTTCCAACGAAATCCTCAAAGCTATCCAAATATCCTCTTGCAGATATTACAAAAAGAGTGTTTCAAAACTGCTCTATCAAAAGAAAGCTTCAACACTGTTAGTTGAGGGCGCACATCACAAATAAGTTTCTGAGAATGCTTCTGTCTAGTTTTCAGGGGAAGATATTTCCTTTTTCACCTTATGCCTGAAAGCGCTGCAAATGTCCACATCCAGATAATACAAAAAGAGTGTTTCAAACCTGCTCTATGAAAGGGAATGTTCAACTCTGTGACTTGAATGCAAACATCACAAAGAAGTTTCTGGGAATGCTGCTGTCTGCTTTTGATATGTAATCCCGTTTCCAACGAAATCCTCAAAGCTAGACAAATATCCACTTGCAGATTCCACAAAAAGAGTGTTTCAAAACTGCTCTCTCAAAAGAAAGGTTCAACTTCTTTTAGCTGTGTAGATACATCATGAAAAAGTTTCTGACATTGCTTCTATGTAGCTTTTATTGGAAGATATTTCCTTTTTCACCGTAGTCCTGAGAGCGCTCCAAATGTCCACTTCCAGATACTACAAAAAGAGTGTTTGAAACCTGTTCTATGAAAGGAACTGTTCAACACTGTGACTTCAATTGAAACTTCCCAATGAAGCTTCTGAGAATGCTGCTGTCTGCTTTGTATAATTAATCCCGTTTCCAACGAAATCCTCAAAGCTATCCAAATATCCTCTTGCAGATATTACAAAAAGAGTGTTTCAAAACTGCTCTATCAAAAGAAAGCTTCAACACTGTTAGTTGAGGGCGCACATCACAAATAAGTTTCTGAGAATGCTGCTGTCTGCTTTTTATATGTAATCCCGTTTCCAACGAAATCCTCAAAGCTAGACAAATATCCACTTGCAGATTCCACAAAAAGAGTGTTTCAAAACTGCTCTATCAAAAGAATGCTTCAACACTGTTAGTTGAGGGCGCACATCACAAATAAGTTTCTGAGAATGCTTCTGTCTAGTTTTCAGGGGAAGATATTTCCTTTTAAACCATAGGCCTGAAAGCGCTCAAATGTCCACATCCAGATACTACAAAAAGAGTGTTTCAAACCTGCTCTATGAAAGGGACTGTTCAACATTGTGACTTCAATTGAAACATCCCCATGATGCTTCTGAGAATGCTTCTGTCTAGAGTTTATATGAAGACAGTCCCGTTTCAAACGAAATCCTCAAAGCTATCCAAATATACTCTTGCAGATTTTACAAAAAGAGTGTTTCAAAACTGCTCTATCAAAAGAAAGCTTCAACACTGTTAGTTGAGGGCGCACATCACAAATAAGATTCTGAGAATGCTTCTGTCTAGTTTTCAGGGGAAGATATTTCCTTTTTCACCATAGGCCTGAAAGCGCTCCAAATGTCCACATCCAGATACTACAAAAAGAGTGTTTCAAACCTGCTCTATGAGAGGGAATGTTCAACTCTGTGACTTGAATGCAAACATCACAAAGAAGTTACTGGAAATGCTGCTGTCTGCTTTTTATATGTAATCCCGTTTCCAACGAAATCCTCAAAGCTAGACAAATATCCACTTGCAGATTCCACAAAAAGAGTGTTTCAAAACTGCTCTCTCAAAAGGAAGGTTCAACTCTGTTAGCTGAGTAGATACGTCATGAAAAAGTTTCTGACATTGCTTCTATCTAGCTTTTATTGGAAGATATTTCCTTTTTCACCGTAGTCCTGAGAACGCTCCAAATGTCCACTTCCAGATACTACAAAAAGAGTGTTTCAAACCTGCTCTATGAAAGGGACTGTTCAACACTGTGACTTCAATTGAAACATCCCAATGAAGCTTCTGAGAATGCTGCTGTCTGCTTTGTATAATTAATCCCGTTTCCAACGAAATCCTCAAAGCTATCCAAATATCCTCTTGCAGATATTACAAAAAGAGTGTTTCAAAACTGCTCTATCAAAAGAAAGCTTCAACACTGTTAGTTGAGGGCGCACATCACAAATAAGTTTCTGAGAATGCTGCTGTCTGCTTTTTATAATTAATCCCGTTTCCAACGAAATCCTCAAAGCTATCCAAATATCCTCTTGCAGATATTACAAAAAGAGTGTTTCAAAACTGCTCTATCAAAAGAAAGGTTCAACACTGTTAGTTGAGGGCGCACATCACAAATAAGTTTCTGAGAATGCTTCTGTCTAGTTTTCAGGGGAAGATATTTCCCTTTAAACCATAGGCCTGAAAGCGCTCCAAATGTCCACATCCAGATACTACAAAAAGAGTGTTTCAAACCTGCTCTATGAAAGGGACTGTTCAACACTGT
Source organism: Homo sapiens (assembly GCF_000001405.40). Taxonomy (NCBI): domain Eukaryota; kingdom Metazoa; phylum Chordata; class Mammalia; order Primates; family Hominidae; genus Homo; species Homo sapiens. Next base: position 92,983,960 of record NC_000002.12, on the reverse strand, counting down.
GACTTCAACTAAAACATCCCAATGAAGCTTCTGAGAATGCTTCTGTCTAGAGTTTATATGAAGACAATCCCGTTTCCAACGAAATCCTCAAAGCTATCCAAATATCCTCTTGCAGATTTTACAAAAAGAGTGTTTCAAAACTGCTCTATCAAAAGAAAGCTTCAACACTGTTAGTTGAGGGCGCACATCACAAATAAGATTCTGAGAATGCTTCTGTCTAGTTTTCAGGGGAAGATATTTCCTTTTTCACAATAGGCCTGAAAGCGCTCCAAATGTCCACATCCAGATACTACAAAAAGAGTGTTTCAAACCTGCTCTCTGAAAGGGAATGTTCAACTCTGTGACTTGAATGCAAACATCACAAAGAAGTTACTGGGAATGCTGCTGTCTGCTTTTTATATGTAATCCCGTTTCCAACGAAATCCTCAAAGCTAGACAAATATCCACTTCCAGATTCCACAAAAAGAGTGTTTCAAAACTGCTCTCTCAAAAGAAAGGTTCATCTCTGTTAGCTGAGTAGATACATCATGAAAAAGTTTCTGACATTGCTTCTATGTAGCTTTTATTGGAAGATATTTCCTTTTTCACCGTAGTCCTGAGAGCGCTCCAAATGTCCACTTCCAGATACTACAAAAAGAGTGTTTCAAACCTGCTCTATGAAAGGGACTGTTCAACACTGTGACTTCAATTGAAACATCCCAATGAAGCTTCTGAGAATGCTGCTGTCTGCTTTGTATAATTAATCCCGTTTCCAACGAAATCCTCAAAGCTATCCAAATATCCTCTTGCAGATATTACAAAAAGAGTGTTTCAAAACTGCTCTATCAAAAGAAAGCTTCAACACTGTTAGTTGAGGGCGCACATCACAAATAAGTTTCTGAGAATGCTGCTGTCTGCTTTTTATATGTAATCCCGCTTCCAACGAAATCCTGAAAGCTAGACAAATATCCACTTGCAGATTCCACAAAAAGAGTGTTTCAAAACTGCTCTATCAAAAGAATGCTTCAACACTGTTAGTTGAGGGCGCACATCAAAAGTAAGTTTCTGAGAATGCTTCTGTCTAGTTTTCAGGGGAAGATATTTCCTTTTTCACCATAGGCCTGAAAGCGCTCGAAATGTCCACATCCAGATACTACAAAAAGAGTGTTTCAAACCTGCTCTATGAAAGGGACTGTTCAACACTGTGACTTCAATTGAAACATCCCAATGAAGCTTCTGAGAATGCTTCTGTCTAGAGTTTATATGAAGACAATCCCGTTTCCAATGAAATCCTCAAAGCTATGCAAATATCCTCTTGCAGATTTTACAAAAAGAGTGTTTCAAAACTGCTCTATCCAAAGAAAGTTTCAACACTGTTAGTTGAGGGCGCACATCACAAATAAGATTCTGAGAATGCTTCTGTCTAGTTTTCAGGAGAAGATATTTCCTTTTTCACCATAGGCCTGAAAGCGCTCCAAATGTCCACATCGAGATACTACAAAAAGAGTGTTTCAAACCTGCTCTATGAAAGGGAATGTTCAACTCTGTGACTTGAATGCAAACATCACAAAGAAGATTCTGGGAATGCTGCTGTCTGCTTTTTATATGTAATCCCGTTTCCAACGAAATCCTCAAAGCTAGACAAATATCCACTTGCAGATTCCACAAAAAGAGTGTTTCAAAACTGCTCTCTCAAAAGAAAGGTTCAACTCTGTTAGCTGAGTAGATACATCATGAAAAAGTTTCTGACATTGCTTCTATCTAGCTTTTATTGGAAGATATTTCCTTTATCACCGTATTCCTGAGATCTCTCCAAATGTCCACTTGCAGATACTACAAAAAGAGTGTTTCAAACCTGCTCTATGAAAGGGACTGTTCAACACTGTGACTTCAATTGAAACATCCCAATGAAGCTTCTGAGAATGCTTCTTTCTAGAGTTTATATGAAGACAATCCCGTTTCCAACGAAATCCTCAAAGCTATCCAAATATTCTCTTGCAGATATTACAAAAAGAGTGTTTCAAAACTGCTCTATCAAAATAAAGCTTCAACACTGTTAGTTGAGGGCGCACATCACAAATAAGTTTCTGAGAATGCTGCTGTCTGCTTTTTATATGTAATCCCGTTTCCAACGAAATCCTCAAAGCTAGACAAATATACACTTGCAGATTCCACAAAAAGAGTGTTTCAAAACTGCTGTATAAAAAGAAAGCTTCAACACTGTTAGTTGAGGGCGCACATCACAAATAAGTTTCTGAGAATGCTTCTGTCTAGTTTTCAGGGGAAGATATTTCCTTTTAAACCATAGGCCTGAAAGCGCTCCAAATGTCCACATCCAGATACTACAAAAAGAGTGTTTCAAACCTGCTCTATGAAAGGGACTGTTCAACACTGTGACTTCAATTGAAACATCCCAATGACGCTTCTGAGAATGCTTCTGTCTAGAGTTTATATGAAGACAATCCCGTTTCCAACGAAATCCTCAAAGCTATCCAAATATCCTCTTGCAGATTCCACAAAAAGAGTGTTTCAAAACTGCTCTATCAAGAGAAAGCTTCAACACTGTTAGTTGAGGGCGCACATCACAAATAAGTTTCTGAGAATGCTTCTGTCTAGTTTTCAGGGGAAGATATTTCCTTTTTCACCTTAGGCCTGAAAGCGCTGCAAATGTCCACATCCAGATACTACAAAAAGAGTGTTTCAAACCTGCTCTATGAAAGGGAATGTTCAACTCTGTGACTTGAATGCAAACATCACGAAGAAGTTTCTGGGAATGCTGCTGTCTGCTTTTTATATGTAATCCCGTTTCCAACGAAATCCTCAAAGCTAGACAAAATATCCACTTGCAGATTCCACAAAAAGAGTGTTTCAAAACTGCTCTCTCAAAAGAAAGGTTCAACTCTGTTAGCTGAGTAGATACATCATGAAAAAGTTTCTGACATTGCTTCTATGTAGCTTTTATTGGAAGATATTTCCTTTATCACCGTAGTCCTGAGAGCGCTCCAAATGTCCACTTCCAGATACTACAAAAAGAGTGTTTCAAACCTGCTCTATGAAAGGGACTGTTCAACACTGTGACTTCAATTGAAACCTCCCAATGAAGCTTCTGAGAATGCTTCTTTCTAGAGTTTATATGAAGACAATCCCGTTTCCAACGAAATCCTCAAAGCTATCCAAATATTCTCTTGCAGATATTACAAAAAGAGTGTTTCAAAACTGCTCTATCAAAATAAAGCTTCAACACTGTTAGTTGAGGGCGCACATCACAAATAAGTTTCTGAGAATGCTGCTGTCTGCTTTTTATATGTAATCCCGTTTCCAACGAAATCCTCAAAGCTATCCAAATATCCTCTTGCAGATATTACAAAAAGAGTGTTTCAAAACTGCTCTATCAAAAGAAAGGTTCAACACTGTTAGTTGAGGGCGCACATCACAAATAAGTTTCTGAGAATGCTTCTGTCTAGTTTTCAGGGGAAGATATTTCCTTTTAAACCATAGGCCTGAAAGCGCTCCAAATGTCCACATCCAGATACTACAAAAAGAGTGTTTCAAACCTGCTCTATGAAAGGGAATGTTCAACACTGTGACTTCAATTGAAACATCCCAATGAAGCTTCTGAGAATGCTTCTGTCTAGAGTTTATATGAAGACAATCCCGTTTCCAACGAAATCCTCAAAGCTATCCAAATATCCTCTTGCAGATTTTACAAAAAGAGTGTTTCAAAACTGCTCTATCAAAAGAAAGGTTCAACACTGTTAGTTGAGGGCGCACATCACAAATAAGTTTCTGAGAATGCTTCTATCTACCTTTTATTGGAAGATATTTCCTTTTTCACCGTAGTCCTGAGAGCGCTCCAAATGTCCACTTCCAGATACTACAAAAAGAGTGTTTCAAACCTGCTCTATGAAAGGGAATGTTCAACTCTGTGACTTGAATGCAAACATCACAAAGAAGTTTCTGGGAATGCTGCTGTCTGCTTTTTATATGTAATCCCGTTTCAAACGCAATCCTCAAACCTAGACAAATATCCACTTGCAGATTCCACAAAAAGAGTGTTTCAAAACTGCTCTCTCAAAAGAAAGGTTCAACTCTGTTAGCTGAGTAGATACATCATGAAAAATTTTCTGACATTGCTTCTATCTAGCTTTTACTGGAAGATATTTCCTTTTCCACTGTAGTCCTGAGAACGCTCCAAATGTCCACCTCCAGATACTACAAAAAGAGTGTTTCAAACCTGCTCTATGAAAGGGACTGTTCAACACTGTGACTTCAATTGAAACATCCCAATGAAGCTTCTGAGAATGCTTCTGTCTAGAGTTTATATGAAGACAATCCCGTTTCCAACGAAATCCTCAAAGCTATCCAAATATCCTCTTGCAGATATTACAAAAAGAGTGTTTCAAAACTGCTCTATCAAAAGAAAGGTTCAACACTGTTAGTTGAGGGCGCACATCACAAATAAGTTTACTGAGAATGCTGCTGTCTGCTTTTTATATGTAATCCCGTTTCCAACGAAATCCTCAAAGCTATCCAAATATCCTCTTGCAGATTTTACAAAAAGAGCGTTTCAAAACTGCTCTATCAAAAGAAAGCTTCAACACTGTTAGTTGAGGGCGCACATCACAAATAAGATTCTGAGAATGCTTCTGTCTAGTTTTCAGGGGAAGATATTTCCTTTTTCACCATAGGCCTGAAATCGCTCTAAATGTCCACATCCAGATACTACAAAAAGAGTGTTTCAAACCTGCTCTATGAAAGGGACTGTTCAACACTGTGACTTCAATTGAAACATCCCAATGACGCTTCTGAGAATGCTTCTGTCTAGAGTTTATATGAAGACAATCCCGTTTCCAAAGAAATCCTCAAAGCTATCCAAATATCCTCTTGGAGATTTTACAAAAAGAGTGTTTCAAAACTGCTCTATCAAAAGAAAGCTTCAACACTGTTAGTTGAGGGCGCACATCACAAATAAGATTCTGAGAACGCTTCTGTCTAGTTTTCAGGGGAAGATATTTCCTTTTTCACCATAGGCCTGAAAGCGCTCCAAACGTCCACATCCAGATACTACAAAAAGAGTGTTTCAAACCTGCTCTATGAAAGGGAATGTTCAACTCTGTCACTTGAATGCAAATTTCACAGAGAAGTTTCTGGGAATGCTGCTGTCTGCTTTTTATATGTAATCCCCTTTCCAACGAAATCCTCAAAGCTAGACAAATATCCACTTGCAGATTCCACAAAAATAGTGTTTCAAAACTGATCTCGCAAAAGAAAGGTTCAACTCTTTTAGCTGAGTAGATACATCATGAAAAAGTTTCTGACATTGCTTCTATCTAGCTTTTATTGGAAGATAATTCCCTTTTCACCGTAGTCCTGAGAGTGCTCCAAATGTCCACTTCCAGATACTACAAAAAGAGTGTTTCAAACCTGCTCTATGAAAGGGACTGTTCAACACTCTGACTTCAATTGAAACATCCCAATGAAGCTTCTGAGAATGCTGCTGTCTGCTTTGTATAATTAATCCCGTTTCCAACGAAATCCTCAAAGCTATCCAAATATCCTCTTGCAGATATTACAAAAAGAGTGTTTCAAAACTGCTCTATCAAAAGAAAGCTTCAACACTGTTAGTTGAGGGCGCACATCACAAATAAGTTTCTGAGAATGCTGCTGTCTGCTTTTTATATGTAATCCCGTTTCCAACGAAATCCTCAAATCTAGACAAATATCCACTTGCAGATTCCACAAAAAGAGTGTTTCAAAACTGCTCTATCAAAAGAATGCTTCAACACTGTTAGTTGAGGGCGCACATCACAAATAAGTTTCTGAGAATGCTTCTGTCTAGTTTTCAGGGGAAGATATTTCCTTTTAAACCATAGGCCTGAAAGCGCTCCAAATGTCCACATCCAGATACTACAAAAAGAGTGTTTCAAACCTGCTCTATGAAAGGGACTGTTCAACACTGTGACTTCAATTGAAACATCCCAATGACGCTTCTGAGAATGCTTCTGTCTAGAGTTTATATGAAGACAATCCCGTTTCCAACGAAATCCTCAAAGCTATCCAAATATCCTCTTGCAGATATTACAAAAAGAGTGTTTCAAAACTGCTCTATCAAAAGAAAGGTTCAACACTGTTAGTTGAGGGCGCACATCACAAATAAGTTTCTGAGAATGCTTCTGTCTAGTTTTCAGGGGAAGATATTTCCTTTTTCACCTTAGGCCTGAAAGCGCTGCAAATGTCCACATCCAGATACTACAAAAAGAGTGTTTCAAACCTGCTCTATGAAAGGGAATGTTCAACTCTGTGACTTGAATGCAAACAACACAAAGAAGTTTCTGGGAATGCTGCTGTCTGCTTTTTATATGTAATCCCGTTTCCAACGAAATCCTCAAAGCTAGACAAATATCCACTTGCAGATTCCACAAAAAGAGTGTTTCAAAACTGCTCTCTCAAAGGAAAGGTTCAACTCTGTTAGCTGAGTAGATACATCATGAAAAAGTTTCTGACATTGCTTCTATGTAGCTTTTATTGGAAGATATTTCCTTTTTCACCGTAGTCCTGAGAGCGCTCCAAATGTCCACTTCCAGATACTACAAAAAGAGTGTTTCAAACCTGTTCTATGAAAGGAACTGTTCAACACTGTGACTTCAATTGAAACATCCCAATGAAGCTTCTGAGAATGTTTCTGTCTAGAGTTTATATGAAGACAATCCCGTTTCCAACGAAATCCTCAAAGCTATCCAAATATCCTCTTGCAGATATTACAAAAAGAGTGTTTCAAAACTGCTCTATCAAAAGAAAGGTTCAACACTGTTAGTTGAGGGCGCACATCACAAATAAGTTTACTGAGAATGCTGCTGTCTGCTTTTTATATGTAATCCCGTTTCCAACGAAATCCTCAAAGCTAGACAAATATCCACTTGCAGATTCCACAAAAAGAGTGTTTCAAAACTGCTCTATCAAAAGAAAGCTTCAACACTGTTAGTTGAGGGCGCACATCACAAATAAGTTTCTGAGAATGCTTCTGTCTAGTTTTCAGGGGAAGATATTTCCTTTTTCACCATAGGCCTGAAAGCGCTCCAAATGTCCACATCCAGATACTACAAAAAGAGTGTTTCAAACCTGCTCTATGAAAGGGACTGTTCAACACTGTGACTTCAATTGAAACATCCCAATGAAGCTTCTGAGAATGCTTCTGTCTAGAGTTTATATGAAGACAATCCCGTTTCCAACGAAATCCTCAAAGCTATCCAAATATCCTCTTGCAGATTTTACAAAAAGAGTTTTTCAAAACTGCTCTATCAAAAGAAAGGTTCAACACTGTTAGTTGAGGGCGCACATCACAAATAAGTTTCTGAGAATGCTTCTGTCTAGTTTTCAGGGGAAGATATTTCCTTTTTCACCATAGGCCTGAAAGCGCTCCAAATGTCCACATCCAGATACTACAAAAAGAGTGTTTCAAACCTGCTCTATGAAAGGGAATGTTCAACTCTGTGACTTGAATGCAAACATCACAAAGAAGTTTCTGGGAATGCTGCTGTCTGCTTTTTATATGTAATCCCGTTTCCAACGAAATCCTCAAAGCTAGACAAGTATCCACTTGCAGATTCCACAAAAAGAGTGTTTCAAAACTGCTCTCTCAAAAGAAAGGTTCAACTCTGTTAGCTGAGTAGATACATCATGAAAAAGTTTCTGACATTGCTTCTATGTAGCTTTTATTGTAAGATATTTCCATTTTCACCGTAGTCCTGAGAGCGCTCCAAATGTCCACTTCCAGATGCTACAAAAAGAGTGTTTCAAACCTGTTCTATGAAAGGAACTGTTCAACACTGTGACTTCAATTGAAACATCCCAATGAAGCTTCTGAGAATGCTGCTGTCTGCTTTGTATAATTAATCCCGTTTCCAACGAAATCCTCAAAGCTATCCAAATATCCTCTTGCAGATATTACAAAAAGAGTGTTTCAAAACTGCTCTATCAAAAGAAAGCTTCAACACTGTTAGTTGAGGGCGCACATCACAAATAAGTTTCTGAGAATGCTGCTGTCTGCTTTTTATATGTAATCCCGTTTCCAACGAAATCCTCAAAGCTATCCAAATATCCTCTTGCAGATATTACAAAAAGAGTGTTTCAAAACTGCTCTATCAAAAGAAAGGTTCAACACTGTTAGTTGAGGGCGCACATCACAAATAAGTTTCTGAGAATGCTTCTGTCTAGTTTTCAGGGGAAGATATTTCCTTTTAAACCATAGGCCTGAAAGCGCTCCAAATGTCCACATCCAGATACTACAAAAAGAGTGTTTCAAACCTGCTCTATGAAAGGGAATGTTCAACACTGTGACTTCAATTGAAACATCCCAATGAAGCTTCTGAGAATGCTTCTGTCTAGAGTTTATATGAAGACAATCCCGTTTCCAACGAAATCCTCAAAGCTATCCAAATATCCTCTTGCAGATTTTACAAAAAGAGTGTTTCAAAACTGCTCTATCAAAAGAAAGCTTCAACACTGTTAGTTGAGGGCGCACATCACAAATAAGATTCTGAGAATGCTTCTGTCTAGTTTTCAGGGGAAGATATTTCCTTTTTCACCATAGGCCTGAAAGCGCTCCAAATGTCCACATCCAGATACTTCAAAAAGAGTGTTACAAACCTGCTCTATGAAAGGGAATGTTCAACTCTCTGACTTGAATGCAAACATCACAAAGAAGTTACTGGGAATGCTGCTGTCTGCTTTTTAAATGTAATCCCGTTTCCAACGCAATCCTCAAAGCTAGACAAATATCCCCTTGCAGATTCCACAAAAATATTGTTTCAAAACTGTTCTCTCAAAAGAAAGGTTCAACTCTTTTAGCTGAATAGATACATCATGAAAAAGTTTCTGACATTGCTTCTATCTAACTTTTATTGGAAGATATTTCCTTTTTCACCGTAGTCCTGAGAACGCTCCAAATGTCCACTTCCAGATGCTACAAAAAGAGTGTTTCAAACCTGCTCTATGAAAGGGACTGTTCAACACTGTGACTTCAATTGAAACATCCCAATGAAGCTATTGAGAATGCTGCTGTCTGCTTTGTATAATTAATCCCGTTTCCAACGAAATCCTCAAAGCTATCCAAATATCCTCTTGCAGATATTACAAAAAGAGTGTTTCAAAACTGCTCTATCAAAAGAAAGCTTCAACACTGTTAGTTGAGGGCGCACATCACAAATAAGTTTCTGAGAATGCTGCTGTCTGCTTTTTATATGTAATCCCGTTTCCAACGAAATCCTCAAAGCTAGACAAATATCCACTTGCAGATTCCACAAAAAGAGTGTTTCAAAACTGCTCTATCAAAAGAAAGCTTCAACACTGTTAGTTGAGGGCGCACATCACAAATAAGTTTCTGAGAATGCTTCTGTCTAGTTTTCAGGGGAAGATATTTCCTTTTAAACCCTAGGCCTGAAAGCGCTCCAAATGTCCACATCCAGATACTACAAAAAGAGTGTTTCAAACCTGCTCTATGAAAGGGACTGTTCAACACTGTGACTTCAATTGAAACATCCCAATGAAGCTTCTGAGAATGCTTCTGTCTAGAGTTTATATGAAGACAATCCCGTTTCCAACGTAATCCTCAAAGCTATCCAAATATCCTCTTGCAGATTTTACGAAAAGAGTGTTTCAAAACTGCTCTATCAAAAGAAAGCTTCAACACTGTTAGTTGAGGGCGCACATCACAAATAAGATTCTGAGAATGCTTCTATCTAGTTTTTATGGGAGGATATTTCCTTTTTCAACACAAGCCGGAATGCGCTCCAAATGGACAACTTCCAGATATGACAAAAGGCGTGTTTCAAACCTGCTCTATGAAAGGGAATGTTCAAATCTGGGACTTCAATGCAAACATCACAAAGAAGTTTCTGAGAATGCTGCTGTCTGATTTTTATATGTAATCCCGTTTCCAACGAAATCCTCAAAGCTAGACAAATATCCACTTGCACATTCCACAAAAAGAGTGTTTCAAAACTGCTCTCTCAAAGGAAGGTTCAACTCTGTTAGCTGAGTAGATACATCATGAAAAAGTTTCTGACATTGCTTCTATCTAGCTTTTATTGGAATATATTTCCTTTATCACCGTACTCCTGAGATCTCTCCAAATGTCCACTTCCAGATACTACAAAAAGAGTGTTTCAAACCTGCTCTATGAAAGGGACTGTTCAACACTGTGACTTCAATTGAAACATCCCAATGAAGCTTCTGAGAATGCTGCTGTCTGCTTTGTATAATTAATCCCGTTTCCAACGAAATCCTCAAAGCTATCCAAATATCCTCTTGCAGATATTACAAAAAGAGTGTTTCAAAACTGCTCTATCAAAAGAAAGCTTCAACACTGTTAGTTGAGGGCGCACATCACAAATAAGTTTCTGAGAATGCTGCTGTCTGCTTTTTATATGTAATCCCGTTTCCAACGAAATCCTCAAATTTAGACAAATATCCACTTCCAGATTCCACAAAAAGAGTGTTTCAAAACTGCTCTATCAAAAGAATGCTTCAACACTGTTAGTTGAGGGCGCACATCACAAATAAGTTTCTGAGAATGCTTTTGTCTAGTTTTCAGGGGAAGATATTTCCTTTTAAACCATAGGCCTGAAAGCGCTCCAAATGTCCACATCCAGATACTACAAAAAGAGTGTTTCAAACCTGCTCTATGAAAGGGACTGTTCAACACTGTGACTTCAATTGAAACATCCCAATGAAGCTTCTGAGAATGCTTCTGTCTAGAGTTTATATGAAGACAATCCCGTTTCCAACGAAATCCTCAAAGCTATCCAAATATCCTCTTGCAGATTTTACAAAAAGAGTGTTTCAAAACTGCTCTATCAAAAGAAAGCTTCAACACTGTTAGTTGAGGGCGCACATCACAAATAAGATTCTGAGAATGCTTCTGTCTAGTTTTCAGGGGAAGATATTTCCTTTTTCACCATAGGCCTGAAAGCGCTCCAAATGTCCACATCCAGATACTATAAAAAGAGTGTTTCAAACCTGCTCTATGAAAGGGAATGTTCAACTCTGTGACTTGAATGCAAACATCACAAAGAAGTTTCTGGGAATGCTGCTGTCTGCTTTTTATATGTAATCCCGTTTCCAACGAAATCCTCAAAGCTAGACAATATCTACTTGCAGATTCCACAAAAAGAGTGTTTCAAAACTGCTCTATCAAAAGAATGCTTCAACACTGTTAGTTGAGGGCGCACATCACAAATAAGTTTCTGAGAATGCTTCTGTCTAGTTTTCAGGGGAAGATATTTCCTTTTTCACCATAGGCCTGAAAGCGCTCCAAATGTCCACATCCAGATACTACAAAAAGAGTGTTTCAAACCTGCTCTATGAAAGGGACTGTTCAACACTGTGACTTCAATTGAAACATCCCAATGAAGCTTCTGAGAATGCTTCTGTCTAGAGTTTATATGAAGACAATCCCGTTTCCAACGAAATCCTCAAAGCTATCCAAATATCCTCTTGCAGATATTACAAAAAGAGTGTTTCAAAACTGCTCTATCAAAAGAAAGCTTCAACACTGTTAGTTGAGGGCGCACATCACAAATAAGTTTCTGAGAATGCTTCTGTCTAGTTTTCAGGGGAAGATATTTCCTTTTTCACCATAGGCCTGAAAGCGCTCCAAATGTCCACATACAGATACTACAAAAAGAGTGTTTCAAACCTGCTCTATGAAAGGGCATGTTCAACTCTGTGACTTGAATGCAAACTTCACAAAGAAATTTCTGGGAATGCTGCTGTCTGCTTTTTATATGTAATCCCGTTTCCAACGAAATCCTCAAAGCTAGACAAATATCCACTTGCAGATTCCACAAAAAGAGTGTTTTAAAACTGCTCTCTCAAAAGAAAGGTTCAACTCTGTTAGCTGAGTAGATACATCATGAAAAAGTTTCTGACATTGCTTCTATCTAGCTTTTATTGGAAGATATTTCCTTTATCACCGTATTCCTGAGATCTCTCCAAATGTCCACTTCCAGATACTACAAAAAGAGTGTTTCAAACCTGCTGTATGAAAGGGACTGTTCAACACTGTGACTTCAATTGAAACATCCCAATGAAGCTTCTGAGAATGCTTCTGTCTAGAGTTTATATGAAGACAATCCCGTTTCCAACGAAATCCTCAAAGCTATCCAAATATCCTCTTGCAGATATTACAAAAAGAGTGTTTCAAAACTGCTCTATCAAAAGAAAGGTTCAACACTGTTAGTTGAGGGCGCACATCACAAATAAGTTTACTGAGAATGCTGCTGTCTGCTTTTTATATGTAATCCCGTTTCCAACGAAATCCTCAAAGCTAGACAAATATCCACTTGCAGATTCCACAAAAAGAGTGTTTCAAAACTGCTCTATCAAAAGAATGCTTCAACACTGTTAGTTGAGGGCGCACATCACAAATAAGTTTCTGAGAATGCTTCTGTCTAGTTTTCAGGGGAAGATATTTCCTTTTAAACCATAGGCCTGAAAGCGCTCCAAATGTCCACATCCAGATACTACAAAAAGAGTGTTTCAAACCTGCTCTATGAAAGGGACTGTTCAACACTGTGACTTCAATTCAAACATCCCAATGACGCTTCTGAGAATGCTTCTGTCTAGAGTTTATATGAAGACAATCCCGTTTCCAACGAAATCCTCAAAGCTATCCAAATATCCTCTTGCAGATTTTACAAAAAGAGTGTTTCAAAACTGCTCTATCAAAAGAAAGCTTCAACACTGTTAGTTGAGGGCGCACATCACAAATAAGATTCTGAGAATGCTTCTGTCTAGTTTTCAGGGGAAGATATTTCCTTTTTCACCATAGGCCTGAAAGCGCTGCAAATGTCCACAACCAGATACTACAAAAAGAGTGTTTCAAACCTGCTCTATGAAAGGGAATGTTCAACTCTGTGACTTGAATGCAAACATCACAAATAAGTTTCTGGGAACGCTGCTGTCTGCTTTTTATATGTAATCCCGTTTCCAACGAAATCCTCAAAGCTAGACAAATATCCACTTGCAGATTCCACAAAAAGAGTGTTTCAAAACTGCTCTCTCAAAGGAAGGTTCAACTCTGTTAGCTGAGTAGATACATCATGAAAAAGTTTCTGACATTGCTTCTATCTAACTTTTATTGGAAGATATTTCCTTTTTCACCGCAGTCCTGAGAGCGCTCCAAATGTCCACTTCCAGATACTACAAAAAGAGTGTTTCAAACCTGCTCTATGAAAGGGACTGTTCAACACTGTGACTTCAACTGAAACATCCCAATGAAGCTTCTGAGAATGCTTCTGCCTAGAGTTTATATGAAGACAATCCCGTTTCCAACGAAATCCTCAAAGCTATCCAAATATCCTCTTGCAGATATTACAAAAAGAGTGTTTCAAAACTGCTCTATCAAAAGAAAGCTTCAACACTGTTAGTTGAGGGCGCACATCACAAATAAGTTTCTGAGAATGCTTCTGTCTAGTTTTCAGGGGAAGATATTTCCTTTTTCACCATAGGCCTGAAAGCGCTCCAAATGTCCACATCCAGATACTACAAAAAGAGTGTTTCAAACCTGCTCTATGAAAGGGAATGTTCAACTCTGTGACTTGAATGCAAACGTCACAAAGAAGTTTCTGGGAATGCTGCTGTCTGCTTTTTATATGTAATCCCGTTTCCAACGAAATCCTCAAAGCTAGACAAATATCCACTTCCAGATTCCACAAAAAGAGTGTTTCAAAACTGCTCTCTCAAAAGAAAGGTTCAACTCTGTTAGCTGAGTAGATACATCATGAAAAAGTTTCTGACATTGCTTCTATCTAGCTTTTATTGGAAGATATTTCCTTTATCACCATAGTCCTGAGAGCGCTCCAAATGTCCACTTCCAGATACTACAAAAAGAGTGTTTCAAACCTGCTCTATGAAAGGGACTGTTCAACACTGTGACTTCAATTGAAACATCCCAATGAAGCTTCTGAGAATGCTTCTGTCTAGAGTTTATATGAAGACAATCCCGTTTCCAACGAAATCCTCAAAGCTATCCAAATATCCTCTTGCAGATATTACAAAAAGAGTGTTTCAAAACTGCTCTATCAAAAGAAAGGTTCAACACTGTTAGTTGAGGGCGCACATCACAAATAAGTTTACTGAGAATGCTGCTGTCTGCTTTTTATATAATCCCGTTTCCAACGAAATCCTCAAAGCTAGACAAATATCCACTTGCAGATTCCACAAAAAGAGTGTTTCAAAACTGCTCTATCAAAAGAAAGCTTCAACACTGTTAGTTGAGGGCGCACATCACAAATAAGTTTCTGAGAATGCTTCTGTCTAGTTTTCAGGGGAAGATATTTCCTTTTTCACCATAGGCCTGAAAGCGCTCCAAATGTCCACATCCAGATACTACAAAAAGAGTGTTTCAAACCTGCTCTATAAAAGGGACTGTTCAACACTGTGACTTCAATTGAAACATCCCAATGAAGCATCTGAGAATGCTTCTGTCTAGAGTTTATATGAAGACAATCCCGTTTCCAACGAAATCCTCAAAGCTATCCAAATATCCTCTTGCAGATTTTACAAAAAGAGTGTTTCAAAACTGCTCTATCAAAAGAAAGCTTCAAGACTGTTAGTTGAGGGCGCACATCACAAATAAGATTCTGAGAATTCTTCTGTCTAGTTTTCAGGGGAAGATATTTCCTTTTTCACCATAGGCCTGAAAGCGCTCCAAATGTCCACATCCAGATACTACAAAAAGAGTGTTTCAAACCTGCTCTATGAAAGGGAATGTTCAACTCTGTGACTTGAATGCAAACATCACAAAGAAGTTTCTGGGAATGCTGCTGTCTGCTTTTTATATGTAATCCCGTTTCCAACGAAATCCTCAAAGCTAGACAAATATCCACTTGCAGATTCCACAAAAAGAGTGTTTCAAAACTGCTCTCTCAAAGGAAAGGTTCAACTCTGTTAGCTGAGTAGATACATCATGAAAAAGTTTCTGACATTGCTTTCTATCTAGCTTTTGTTGGAAGATATTTCCTTTTTCACCGCAGTCCTGAGAGCGCTCCAAATGTCCACATCCAGATACTACAAAAAGAGTGTTTCAAACCTGCTCTATGAAAGGGACTGTTCAACACTGTGACTTCAATTGAAACATCCCAATGAAGCCTCTGAGAATGCTTCTGTCTAGAGTTTATATGAAGACAATCCCGTTTCCAATGAAATCCTCAAAGCTATCCAAATATCCTCTTGCAGATTTTACAAAAAGAGTGTTTCAAAACTGCTCTATCAAAAGAAAGCTTCAACACTGTTAGTTGAGGGCGCACATCACAAATAAGATTCTGAGAATGCTTCTGTCTAGTTTTCAGGGGAAGATATTTCCTTTTTCACCATAGGCCTGAAAGCGCTCCAAATGTTCACATCCAGATTCTATAAAAAGAGTGTTTCAAACCTGCTCTTTGAAAGGGAATGTTCAACTCTGTGACTTGAATGCAAACATCACAAAGAAGTTTCTGGGAATGCTGCTGTCTGCTTTTTATATGTAATCCCGTTTCCAACGAAATCCTCAAACCTAGACAAATATCCACTTGCAGATTCCACAAAAAGAGTGTTTCAAAACTGCTCTATCAAAAGAAAGCTTCAACACTGTTAGTTGAGGGCGCACATCACAAATAAGTTTCTGAGAATGCTTCTGTCTAGTTTTCAAGGGAAGATATTTCCTTTTAAACCATAGGCCTGAAAGCGCTCCAAATGTCCACATCCAGATACTACAAAAAGAGTGTTTCAAACCTGCTCTATGAAAGGGACTGTTCAACACTGTGACTTCAATTGAAACATCCCAATGACGCTTCTGAGAATGCTTCTGTATAGAGTTTATAGGAAGACAATCCCGTTTCCAACGAAATCCTCAAAGCTATCCAAATATCCTCTTGCAGATTTTACAAAAAGAGTGTTTCAAAACTGCTCTATCAAAAGAAAGCTTCAACACTGTTAGTTGAGGGCGCACATCACAAATAAGATTCTGAGAATCCTTCTGTCTAGTTTTCAGGGGAAGATATTTCCTTTTTCACCATAGGCCTGAAAGCGCTCCAAATTTCCACATCCAGATTCTACAAAAAGAGTGTTTCAAAGCTCCTCTAAGAAAGGGAATGTTCAAATCTGTGACTTGAATGCAAACATCTCAAAGAAATTTCTGGGAATGCGGCTGTCTGCTTTTTATATGTAATCCCGTTTCCAACGAAATCCTCAAAGCTAGACAAATATCCACTTGCAGATTCCACAAAAAGAGTGTTTCAAAACTGCTCTCTCAAAAGAAAGGTTCAACTCTGTTAGCTGAGTAGATACATCATGAAAAAGTTTCTGACATTGCTTCTATGTAGCTTTTATTGGAAGATATTTCCTTTTTCACCGTAGTCCTGAGAGCGCTCCAAATGTCCACTTCCAGATACTACAAAAAGAGTGTTTGAAACCTGTTCTATGAAAGGAACTGTTCAACACTGTGACTTCAATTGAAACTTCCCAATGAAGCTTCTGAGAATGCTTCTGTCTAGAGTTTATATGAAGACAATCCCGTTTCCAACGAAATCCTCAAAGCTATCCAAATATCCTCCTGCAGATATTACAAAAAGAGTGTTTCAAAACTGCTCTATCAAAAGAAAGGTTAAACACTGTTAGTTGAGGGCGCACATCACAAATAAGTTTCTGAGAATGCTGCTGTCTGCTTTTTATATGTAATCCCGTTTCCAACGAAATCCTCAAAGCTAGACAAATATCCACTTGCAGATTCCACAAAAAGAGTGTTTCAAAACTGCTCTATCAAAAGAATGCTTCAACACTGTTAGTTGAAAGCGCACATCACAAATAAGTTTCTGAGAATGCTTCTATGTAGCTTTTATTGGAAGATATTTCCTTTTTCACCGTAGTCCTGAGAGCGCTCCAAATGTCCACTTCCAGATACTACAAAAAGTGTGTTTCAAACCTGTTCTATGAAAGGAACTGTTCAACACTGTGACTTCAATTGAAACATCCCAATGAAGCTTCTGAGAATGCTTCTGTCTAGAGTTTATATGAAGACAATCCCGTTTCCAACGAAATCCTCAAAGCTATCCAAATATCCTCTTGCAGATATTACAAAAAGAGTGTTTCAAAACTGCTCTATCAAAAGAAAGCTTCAACACTGTTAGTTGAGGGCGCACATCACAAATAAGTTTCTGAGAATGCTTCTGTTTAGTTTTCAGGGGAAGATATTTCCTTTTTCACCATAGGCCTGAAAGCGCTCCAAATGTCCACATCCAGATACTACAAAAAGAGTGTTTCAAACCTGCTCTATGAAAGGGAATGTTCAAGTCTGTGACTTGAATGCAAATATCACAAAGAAGTTTCTGGGAATGCTGCTGTCTGCTTTTTATATGTAATCCCGTTTCCAACGAAATCCTCAAAGCTAGACAAATATCCACTTTCAGATTACACAAAAAGAGTGTTTCAAAACTGCTCTCTCAAAAGAAAGGTTCAACTCTGTTAGCTGAGTAGATACATCATGAAAAAGTTTCTGACATTGCTTCTATGTAGCTTTTATTGGAAGATATTTCCTTTTTCACCATAGTCCTGGGAGCGCTCCAAATGTCCACTTCCAGATACTACAAAAAGAGTGTTTCAAACCTGTTCTATGAAAGGAACTGTTCAACACTGTGACTTCAATTGAAACATCCCAATGAAGCTTCTGAGAATGCTTCTGTCTAGAGTTTATATGAAGACAATCCCGTTTCCAACGAAATCCTCAAAGCTATCCAAATATCCTCTTGCAGATATTACAAAAAGAGTGTTTCAAAACTGCTCTATCAAAAGAAAGGTTCAACACTGTTAGTTGAGGGCGCACATCACAAATAAGTTTCTGAGAATGCTTCTGTCTAGTTTTCAGGGGAAGATATTTCCTTTTTCACCTTAGGCCTGAAAGCGCTGCAAATGTCCACATCCAGATACTACAAAAAGAGTGTTTCAAACCTGCTCTATGAAAGGGAATGTTCAACTCTGTGACTTGAATGCAAACATCAAAAAGAAGTTTCTGGGAATGCTGTTGTCTGCTTTTTATATGTAATCCCGTTTCCAACGAAATCCTCAAAGCTAGACAAATATCCACTTGCAGATTCCACAAAACGAGTGTTTCAAAACTGCTCTCTCAAATGAAGGTTCAACTCTGTTAGCTGAGTAGATACATCATGAAAAAGTTTCCGTCATTGCTTCTATCTAGCTTTTATTGGAAGATATTTCCTTTTTCACCGCAGTCCTGAGAGCGCTCCAAATGTCCACTTCCAGATACTACAAAAAGAGTGTTTCAAACCTGCTCTATGAAAGGGACTGTTCAACACTGTGACTTCAATTGAAACATCCCAATGAAGCTTCTGAGAATGCTTCTGTCTAGAGTTTATATTAAGACAATCCCATTTCCAACGAAATCCCCAAAGCTATCCAAATATCCTCTTGCAGATTTTACAAAAAGAGTGTTTCAAAACTGCTCTATCAAAAGAAAGCTTCAACACTGCTAGTTGAGGGCGCACATCACAAATAAGATTCTGAGAATGCTTCTGTCTAGTTTTCAGGGGAAGATATTTCCTTTTTCACCATAGGCCTGAAAGCGCTCCAAATGTCCACATCCAGATACTACAAAAAGAGTGTTTCAAACCTGCTCTATGAAAGGGAATGTTCAACTCTGTGACTTGAATGCAAACATCACAAAGGAGTTACTGGGAATGCTTCTGTCTAGTTTTCAGGGGAAGATATTTCCTTTTAAACCATAGGCCTGAAAGCGCTCCAAATGTCCACATCCAGATACTACAAAAAGAGTGTTTCAAACCTGCTCTATGAAAGGGACTGTTCAACACTGTGACTTCAATTGAAACATCCTAATGACGCTTCTGAGAATGCTTCTGTCTAGAGTTTATATGAAGACAATTCCGTTTCCAACGAAATCCTCAAAGCTATCCAAATATCCTCTTGCAGATATTACAAAAAGAGTGTTTCAAAACTGCTCTATCAAAAGAAAGGTTCAACACTGTTAGTTGAGGGCGCACATCACAAATAAGTTTCTGAGAATGCTTCTGTCTAGTTTTCAGGGGAAGATATTTCCTTTTTCACCATAGGCCTAAAAGCGCTCCAAATGTCCACATCCAGATACTACAAAAAGAGTGTTTCAAACCTGCTCTATGAAAGGGAATGTTCAACTCTGTGACTTGAATGCAAACATCACAAAGAAGTTTCTGGGAATGCTGCTGTCTGCTTTTTATATGTAATCCCGTTTCCAACGAAATCCTCAAAGCTAGACAAATATCCACTTGCAGATTCCACAAAAATAGTGTTTCAAAACTGCTCTCTCAAAAGAAAGGTTCAACTCTTTTAGCTGAGTAGATACATCATGAAAAAGTTTCTGACATTGCTTCTATCTAGCTTTTATTGGAAGATATTTCCTTTATCACCGTATTCCTGAGATCTCTCAAAATGTCCACTTCCAGATACTACAAAAAGAGTGTTTCAAACCTGCTCTATGAAAGGGACTGTTCAACACTGTGACTTCAATTGAAACATCCCAATGAAGCTTCTGAGAATGCTTCTGTCTAGAGTTTATATGAAGACAATCCCGTTTCCAACGAAATCCTCAAAGCTATCCAAATATCCTCTTGCAGATATTACAAAAAGAGTGTTTCAAAACTGCTCTATCAAAAGAAAGGTTCAACACTGTTAGTTGAGGGCGCACATCACAAATAAGTTTACTGAGAATGCTGCTGTCTGCTTTTTATATGTAATCCCGTTTCCAACGAAATCCTCAAAGCTAGACAAATATCCACTTGCAGATTCCACAAAAAGAGTGTTTCAAAACTGCTCTATCAAAAGAATGCTTCAACACTGTTAGTTGAGGGCGCACATCACAAATAAGTTTCTGAGAATGCTTCTGTCTAGTTTTCAGAGGAAGATATTTCCTTTTTCACCATAGGCCTGAAAGCGCTCCAAATGTCCACATCCAGATACTACAAAAAGAGTGTTTCAAACCTGCTCTATGAAAGGGACTGTTCAACACTGTGACTTCAATTGAAACATCCCAATGAGGCTTCTGAGAATGCTTCTGTCTAGAGTTTATATGAAGACAATCCCGTTTCCAACGAAATCCTCAAAGCTATCCAAATATCCTCTTGCAGATATTACAAAAAGAGTGTTTCAAAACTGCTCTATCAAAAGAAAGCTTCAACACTGTTAGTTGAGGGCGCACATCACAAATAAGTTTCTGAGAATGCTTCTGTCTAGTTTTCAGGGGAAGATATTTCCTTTTTCACCTTAGGCCTGAAAGCGCACCAAATGTCCACATCCAGATACTTCAAAAAGAGTGTTTCAAACCTGCTCTATGAAAGGGAATGTTCAACTCTGTGACTTGAATGCAAACATCAGAAAGAAGTTACTGGGAATGCTGCTGTCTGCTTTTTATATGTAATCCCGTTTCCAACGAAATCCTCAAAGCTAGACAAATATCCACTTGCAGATTCCACAAAAAGAGTGTTTCAAAACGGCTCTCTCAAAAGAAAGGTTCAACTCTGTTAGCTGAGTAGATACATCATGAAAAAGTTTCTGACATTGCTTCTATCTAGCTTTTATTGGAAGATATTTCCTTTTTCACCATAGTGCTGAGAACGCTCCAAATGTCCACTTCCAGATATTACAAAAAGAGTGTTTCAAACCTGCTCTACGAAAGGGACTGTTCAACACTGTGACTTCAATTGAAACATCCCAATGAAGCTTCTGAGAATGCTTCTGTCTAGATTGTATATGAAGACAATCCCGTTTCCAACGAAATCCTCAAAGCTATCCAAATATCCTCTTGCAGATTTTACAAAAAGAGTGTTTCAAAACTGCTCTATCAAAAGAAAGCTTCAACACTGTTAGTTGAGGGCGCACATCACAAATAAGTTTCTGAGAATGCTTCTGTCTAGTTTTCAGGGGAAGATATTTCCTTTTTCACCATAGGCCTGAAAGCGCTCCAAATGTCCACATCCAGATACTACAAAAAGAGTGTTTCAAACCTGCTCTATGAAAGGGAATGTTCAAGTCTGTGACTTGAATGCAAATATCACAAAGAAGTTTCTGGGAATGCTGCTGTCTGCTTTTTATATGTAATCCCGTTTCCAACGAAATCCTCAAAGGTAGACAAATATCCACTTGCAGATTCCACAAAAAGAGTGTTTCAAAACTGCTCTGTCAAAAGAAAGGTTCAACTCTGTTAGCTGAATAGATACATCATGAGAAATTTTCTGACATTGCTTCTATCTAGCTTTATTTGGAAGATATTTCCTTTTTCACCGTAGTCCTGAGAGCGCTCCAAATGTCCACTTCCAGATACTACAAAAAGAGTGTTTCAAATCTGCTCTATGAAAGGGACTGTTCAACACTGTGACTTCAATTGAAACATCCCAATGAAGCTTCTGAGAATGATTCTGTCTAGATTCTATATGAAGACAATCCCGTTTCCAACGAAATCCTCAAAGCTTTCCAAATATCCTCTTGCAGATTTTACAAAAAGAGTGTTTCAAAACTGCTCTATCAAAAGAAAGGTTCAACACTGTTAGTTGAGGGCGCACATCACAAATAAGTTTCTGAGAATGCTTCTGTCTAGTTTTCAGGGGAAGATATTTCCTTTTTCACCATAGGCCTGAAAGTGCTCCAAATGTCCACATCCAGATACTACAAAAAGTGTGTTTCAAACCTGCTCTATGAAAGGGAATGTTCAACTTTGTGACTTGAATGCAAACATCACAAAGAAGTTACTGGGAATGCTGCTGTCTGCTTTTTATATGGATTCCCGTTTCCAACGAAATCCTCCAAGCTGGCCTAATATCCACTTGCATATTCCCCAAAAAGAGTGTTTTAAAACTGGTCTCTCAAAAGAAAGGTTCAACTCTGTTAGCTGAGTAGATACATCATGAAAAATTTCTGACATTGCTTCTATCTAGCTTTTATTGGAAGATATTTCCTTTTTCACAGTAGTCCTGAGAGCGCTCCAAATGTCCACTTCCAGATACTACAAAAAGAGTGTTTCAAACCTGCTCTATGAAAGGGACTGTTCAACACTGTGACTTCAGTTGAAACATCACAATGAAGTTTCTGAGAAAGCTTCTGTCTAGAGTTTATATGAAGACAATCCCGTTTCCAACGAAATCCTCAAAGCTATCCAAATATCCTCTTGCAGATATTACAAAAAGAGTGTTTCAAAACTGCTCTATCAAAAGAAAGGTTCAACACTGTTAGTTGAGGGCGCACATCACAAATAAGTTTACTGAGAATGCTGCTGTCTGCTTTTTATATGTAATCCCGTTTCCAACAATATCCTCAAAGCTAGAAAAATATCCTCTTGCAGATTCCACAAAAAGAGTGTTTCCAAACTGCTCTATCAAAAGAAAGCTTCAACACTGTTAGTTGAGGGCGCACATCACAAATAAGTTTCTGAGAATGCTTCTGTCTAGTTTTCAGTGGAAGATATTTCCTTTTTCACCATAGGCCTGAAAGCGCTCCAAATGTCCACATCCAGATACTACAAAAAGAGTGTTTCAAACCTGCTCTATGAAAGGGAATGTTCAACTCTGTGACTTGAATGTAAACATCACAAAGAAGTTACTGGGAATGCTGCTGTCTGCTTTTTATATGTAATCCCGTTTCCAACGAAATCCTCAAAGCTAGACAAATATCCACTTGCAGATTCCACAAAAAGAGTGTATCAAAACTGCTCCCTCAAAAGAAAGGTTCAACTCTGTTAGCTGAGTAGATACATCATGAAAAAGTTTCTGACATTGCTTCTATCTAGCTTTTATTGGAAGATATTTCCTTTTTCACCGTAGTCCTGAGAACGCTCCAAATGTCCACTTCCAGATGCTACAAAAAGAGTGTTTCAAACCTGCTCTATGAAAGTGACTGTTCAACACTGTGACTTCAATTGAAACATCCCAATGAAGCTTCTGAGAATGCTGCTGTCTGCTTTGTATAATTAATCCCGTTTCCAACGAAATCCTCAAAGCTATCCAAATATCCTCTTGCAGATATTACAAAAAGAGTGTTTCAAAACTGCTCTATCAAAAGAAAGCTTCAACACTGTTAGTTGAGGGCGCACATCACAAATAAGTTTCTGAGAATGCTGCTGTCTGCTTTTTATATGTAATCCCGTTTCCAACGAAATCCTCAAAGCTAGAAAAATATCCACTTGCAGATTCCACAAAAAGAGTGTTTCAAAACTGCTCTATCAAAAGAAAGCTTCAACACTGTTAGTTGAGGGCGCACATCACAAATAAGTTTCTGAGAATGCTTCTGTCTAGTTTTCAGGGGAAGATATTTCCTTTTTCACCTTATGCCTGAAAGCGCTGCAAATGTCCACATCCAGATACTACAAAAAGAGTGTTTCAAACCTGCTCTATCAAAGGGACTGTTCAACACTGTGACTTCAATTGAAACATCCCAATGAAGCTTACTGAGAATGCTTCTGTCTAGAGTTTATATGAAGACAATCCCGTTTCCAACGAAATCCTCAAAGCTATCCAAATATCCTCTTGCAGATATTACAAAAAGAGTGTTTCAAAACTGCTCTATCAAAAGAAAGGTTCAACACTGTTAGTTGAGGGCGCACATCACAAATAAGTTTCTGAGAATGCTTCTGTCTAGTTTTCAGGGGAAGATATTTCCTTTTTCACCATAGGCCTGAAAGCGCTCCAAATGTCCACATCCAGATACTTCAAAAAGAGTGTTTCAAACCTGCTCTATGAAAGGGAATGTTCAACTCTCTGACTTGAATGCAAACATCACAAACAAGTTACTGGGAATGCTGCTGTCTGCTTTTTATATGTAATCCCGTTTCCAACGAAATCCTCAAAGCTAGGCAAATATCCCCTTGCAGATTCCACAAAAAGAGTGTTTCAAAACTGCTCTCTCAAAGGAAGGTTCAACTCTGTTAGCTGAGTAGATACATCATGAAAAAGTTTCTGACATTGCTTCTATCTAGCTTTTATTGGAAGATATTTCCTTTTTCACCGCAGTCCTGAGAGCGCTCCAAATGTCCACTTCCAGATACTACAAAAAGAGTGTTTCAAACCTGCTCTATGAAAGGGACTGTTCAACACTGTGACTTCAATTGAAACATCCCAATGAAGCTTCTGAGAATGCTTCTGTCTAGAGTTTATATGAAGACAATACCGTTTCCAACGAAATCCTCAAATCTATCCAAATATCCTCTTGCAGATTTCACAAAAAGAGTGTTTCAAAACTGCTCTATCAAAAGAAAGCTTCAACACTGTTAGTTGAGGGCGCACATCACAAATAAGATTCTGAGAATGCTGCTGTCTGCTTTTTATAATTAATTCCGTTTCCAACGATATCCTCAAAGCTATCCAAATATCCTCTTGCAGATATTACAAAAAGAGTGTTTCAAAACTGCTCTATCAAAAGAAAGCTTCAACACTGTTAGTTGAGGGCGCACATCACAAATAAGTTTCTGAGAATGCTTCTGTCTAGTTTTCAGGGGAAGGTATTTCCTTTTTCACCTTATGCCTGAAAGCGCTGCAAATGTCCACATCCAGATACTACAAAAAGAGTGTTTCAAACCTGCTCTATCAAAGGGACTGTTCAACACTGTGACTTCAATTGAAACATCCCAATGAAGCTTCTGAGAATGCTTCTGTCTAGAGTTTATATGAAGACAATCCCGTTTCCAACGAAATCCTCAAAGCTATCCAAATATCCTCTTGCAGATATTACAAAAAGAGTGTTTCAAAACTGCTCTATCAAAAGAAAGCTTCAACACTGTTAGTTGAGGGCGCACATCACAAATAAGTTTCTGAGAATGCTTCTGTCTAGTTTTCAGGGGAAGATATTTCCTTTTTCACCTTAGGCCTGAAAGCGCTGCAAATGTCCACATCCAGATACTACAAAAAGAGTGTTTCAAACCTGCTCTATGAAAGGGAATTTTCAACTCTGTGACTTGAATGCAAACATCACAAAGAAGTTTCTGGGAATGCTGCTGTCTGCTTTTTATATGTAATCCCGTTTCCAACGAAATCCTCAAAGCTAGACAAATATCCACTTGCAGATTCCACAAAAAGAGTGTTTCAAAACTGCTCTCTCAAAAGAAAGGTTCAACTCTGTTTGCTGAGTAGATACATCATGAAAAAGTTTCTGACATTGCTTCTATCTAGCTTTTATTGGAAGATATATCCTTTTTCACCGCAGTCCTGAGAGCGCTCCAAATGTCCACTTCCAGATACTACAAAAAGAGTGTTTCAAACCTGTTCTATGAAAGGAACTGTTCAACACTGTGACTTCAATTGAAACATCCCAACGAAGCTTCTGAGAATGCTGCTGTCTGCTTTGTATAATTAATCCCGTTTCCAACGAAATCCTCAAAGCTATCCAAATATCCTCTTGCAGATATTACAAAAAGAGTGTTTCAAAACTGCTCTATCAAAAGAAAGCTTCAACACTGTTAGTTGAGGGCGCACATCACAAATAAGTTTCTGAGAATGCTGCTGTCTGCTTTTTATATGTAATCCCGTTTCCAACGAAATCCTCAAAGCTAGACAAATATCCACTTGCAGATTCCACAAAAAGAGTGTTTCAAAACTGCTCTATCAAAAGAAAGCTTCAACACTGTTAGTTGAGGGCGCACATCACAAATAAGTTTCTGAGAATGCTTCTGTCTAGTTTTCAGGGGAAGATATTTCCTTTTTCACCATAGGCCTGAAAGCGCTCCAAATGTCCACATCCAGATACTACAAAAAGAGTGTTTCAAACCTGCTCTATGAAAGGGACTGTTCAACACTGTGACTTCAATTGAAACATCCCAATGAAGCTTCTGAGAATGCTTCTGTCTAGATTCTATATGAAGACAATCCCGTTTCCAAGCGAAATCCTCAAAGCTATCCAAATATCCTCTTGCAGATTTTACAAAAAGAGTGTTTCAAAACTGCTCTATCAACAGAAAGGTTCAACACTGTTAGTTGAGGGCGCACATCACAAATAAGTTTCTGAGAATGCTTCTGTCTAGTTTTCAGGGGAAGATATTTCCTTTTTCACCATAGGCCTGAAAGCGCTCCAAATGTCCACATCCAGATACTACAAAAAGAGTGTTTCAAACCTGCTCTATGAAAGGGAATGTTCAACTCTGTGACTTGAATGCAAACATCACAAAGAAGTTTCTGGGAATGCTGCTGTCTGCTTTTTATATGTAATCCCGTTTCCAACGAAATCCTCAAAGCTAGACAAATATCCACTTGCAGATTCCACAAAAAGAGTGTTTCAAAACTGCTCTCTCAAAAGAAAGGTTCAACTCTGTTAGCTGAGTAGGTACATCATGAAAAAGTTTCTGACATTGCTTCTATCTAGCTTTTAGGGGAAGATATTTCCTTTTTCACCATAGGCTTGAAAGCGCTCCAAATGTCCACATCCAGATACTACAAAAAGAGTGTTTCAAACCTCCTCTATGAAAGGGAATGTTCAACTCTGTGACTTGAATGCAAACTTCACAAAGAAGTTTCTGGGAATGCTTCTGTCTAGAGTTTATATGAAGACAATCCCGTTTCCAACGAAATCCTCAAAGCTATCCAAATATCCTCTTGCAGATATTACAAAAAGAGTGTTTCAAAACTGCTCTATCAAAAGAAAGGTTCAACACTGTTAGTTGAGGGCGCACATCACAAATAAGTTTACTGAGAATGCTGCTGTCTGCTTTTTATATGTAATCCCGTTTCCAACGAAATCCTCAAAGCTAGACAAATATCCACTTGCAGATTCCACAAAAAGAGTGTTTCAATACTGCTCTATGAAAAGAATGCTTCAACACTGTTAGTTGAGGGCGCACATCACAAATAAGTTTCTGAGAATGCTTCTGTCTAGTTTTCAGGGGAAGATATTTCCTTTTAAACCATAGGCCTGAAAGCGCTCCAAATGTCCACATCCAGATACTACAAAAAGAGTGTTTGAAACCTGCTCTATGAAAGGGACTGTTCAACACTGTGACTTCAATTGAAACATCCCAATGAAGCTTCTGAGAATGCTTCTGTCTAGAGTTTATATGAAGACAATCCCGTTTCCAACGAAATCCTCAAAGCTATCCAAATATCCTCTTGCAGATTTTACAAAAAGAGTGTTTCAAAACTGCTCTATCAAAAGAAAGCTTCAACACTGTTAGTTGAGTGCGCACATCACAAATAAGATTCTGAGAATGCTTCTGTCTAGTTTTCAGAGGAAGATATTTCCTTTTTCACCATAGGCCTGAAAGCGCTCCAAATGTCCACATCCAGATACTACAAAAAGAGTGTTTCAAACCTGCTCTATGAAAGGGAATGTTCAACTCTGGGACTTGAATGCAAACATCACAAAGAAGTTTTTGGGAATGCTGCTGTCTGCTTTTTATATGTAATCCCGTTTCCAACGAAATCCTCAAAGCTAGACAAATATCCACTTGCAGATTCCACAAAAAGAGTGTTTCAAAACTGCTCTGTCAAAAGAAAGGTTCAACTCTGTTAGCTGAATAGATACATCATGAAAAATTTTCTGACATTGCTTCTATCTAGCTTTATTTGGAAGATATTTCCTTTTTCACCGTAGTCCTGAGAGCGCTCCAAATGTCCACTTCCAGATACTACAAAAAGATTGTTTCAAACATGCTCTATGAAAGGGACTGTTCAACACTGTGACTTCAATTGAAACATCCCAATGAAGCTTCTGAGAATGCTTCTGTCTAGATTTTATATGAAGACAATCCCGTTTCCAACGAAATCCTCAAAGCTATCCGAATATCCTCTTGCAGATTTTACAAAAAGAGTGTTTCAAAACTGCTCTATCAAAAGAAAAGTTCAACACTGTTAGTTGAGGGCGCACATGACAAATAAGTTTCTGAGAATGCTGCTGTCTGCTTTTTATATGTAATCCCGTTTCCAACGAAATCCTCAAAGCTAGACAAATATCCACTTGCAGATTCCACAAAAAGAGTGTTTCAAAACTGCTCTATCAAAAGAATGCTTCAACACTGTTAGTTGAAGGCGCACATCACAAATAAGTTTCTGAGAATGCTTCTGTCTAGTTTTCAGGGGAAGATATTTCCTTTTAAACCATAGGCCTGAAAGCGCTCCAAATGTCCACATCCAGATACTACAAAAAGAGTGTTTGAAACCTGCTCTATGAAAGGGACTGTTCAACACTGTAACTTCAATTGAAACATCCCAATGAAGCTTACTGAGAATGCTTCTGTCTAGAGTTTATATGAAGACAATCCCGTTTCCAACGAAATCCTCAAAGCTATCCAAATATCCTCTTGCAGATTTTACAAAAAGAGTGTTTCAAAACTGCTCTATCAAAAGAAAGCTTCAACTCTGTTAGTTGAGGGCGCACATCACAAATAAGATTCTGAGAATGCTTCTGTCTAGTTTTCAGGGGAAGATATTTCCTTTTTCACCATAGGCCTGAAAGCGCTGCAAAGGTCCACATCCAGATACTACAAAAAGAGTGTTTCAAACCTGCTCTATGAAAGGGAATGTTCAACTCTGTGACTTGAGAATGCAAATCTATCACAAAAGAAGTTATCTGGGAATGCTTCTGTCTAGAGTTTATATGAAGAGAATCCCGTTTCCAACGAAATCCTCAAAGCTATCCAAATATCCTCTTGCAGATTTTACAAAAGGAGTGTTTCAAAACTGCTCTCTCAAAAGAAAGGTTCAACTCTGTAAGCTGAGTAGATACATCATGAAAAAGTTTCTGACATTGCTTCTATGTAGCTTTTATTGGAAGATATTTCCTTTTTCACCGTAGTCCTGAGAGCGCTCCAAATGTCCACTTCCAGATACTACAAAAAGAGTGTTTCAAACCTGCTCTATGAAAGGGACTGTTCAACACTGTGACTTCAATTGAAACATCCCAATGAAGCTTCTGAGAATACTTCTGTCTAGATTCTATATGAAGACAATCCCGTTTCCAACGAAATCCTCAAAGCTATCCAAATATCCTCTTGCAGATTTTACAAAAAGAGTGTTTCAAAACTGCTCTATCAAAAGAAAAGTTCCACACTGTTAGTTGAGGGCGCACATCACAAATAAGTTTGCTGAGAATGCTGCTGTCTGCTTTTTATATGTAATCCCGTTTCCAACGAAATCCTCAAAGCTAGACAAATATCCACTTGCAGATTCCACAAAAAGAGTGTTTCAAAACTGCTCTATCAAAAGAAAGCTTCAACACTGTTAGTTGAGGGCGCACATCACAAATAAGTTTCTGAGAATGCTTCTGTCTAGTTTTCAGGGGAAGATATTTCCTTTTTCACCATAGGCCTGAAAGCGCTCCAAATGTCCACATCCAGATACTACAAAAAGAGTGTTTCAAACCTGCTCTATGAAAGGGACTGTTCAACACTGTGACTTCAATTGAAACATCCCAATGAAGCTTCTGAGAATGCTTCTGTCTAGAGTTTATATGAAGACAATCCCGTTTCCAACGAAATCCTCAAAGCTATCCAAATATCCTCTTGCAGATATTACAAAAAGAGTGTTTCAAAACTGCTCTATCAAAAGAAAGGTTCAACACTGTTAGTTGAGGGAGTACATCACAAATAAGTTTCTGAGAATGCTTCTGTCTAGTTTTCAGGGGAAGATATTTCCTTCTTCACCATAGGCCTGAAAGCGCTCCAAATGTCCACATACAGATACTACAAAAAGAGTGTTTCAAACCTGCTCTATGAAAGGGAATGTTCAACTCTGTGACTTGAATGCAAACTTCACAAAGAAGTTTCTGGGAATGCTGCTGTCAGCTTTTTATATGTAATCCCGTTTCCAACGAAATCCTCAAAGCTAGACAAATATCCACTTGCAGATTCCACAAAAAGAGTGTTTCAAAACTGCTCTCTCAAAAGAAAGGTTCAACTCTGTTAGCTGAGTAGATACATCATGAAAAAGTTTCTGACATTACTTCTATCTAGCTTTTATTGGAAGATATTTCCTTTATCACCGTATTCCTGAGATCTCTCCAAATGTCCACTTCCAGATACTACAAAAAGAGTGTTTCAAACCTGCTCTATGAAAGGGACTGTTCAACACTGTGACTTCAATTGAAACATCCCAATGAAGCTTCTGAGAATGCTTCTGTCTAGAGTTTATATGAAGACAATCCCGTTTCCAACGAAATCCTTAAAGCTATCCAAATATCCTCTTGCAGATATTACAAAAAGAGTGTTTCAAAACTGCTCTATCAAAAGAAAGCTTCAACACTGTTAGTTGAGGGCGCACATCACAAATAAGTTTCGTGAGAATGCTGCTGTCTGCTTTTTATATGTAATCCCGTTTCCAACGAAATCCTCAAAGCTAGACAAACATCCACTTGCAGATTCCACAAAAAGAGTGTTTCAAAACTGCTCTATCAAAAGAATGCTTCAACACTGTTAGTTGAGGGCGCACATCACAAATAAGTTTCTGAGAATGCTTCTGTCTAGTTTTCAGGGGAAGATATTTCCTTTTAAACCATAGGCCTGAAAGCGCTCCAAATGTCCACATCCAGATACTACAAAAAGAGTGTTTCAAACCTGCTCTATGAAAGGGACTGTTCAACACTGTGACTTCAATTGAAACATCCCAATGAAGCTTCTGAGAATGCTTCTGTCTAGAGTTTATATGAAGACAATCCCGTTTCCAAAGAAATCCTCAAAGCTATCCAAATATCCTCTTGCAGATTTTACAAAAAGAGTGTTTCAAAACTGCTGTATCAAAAGAAAGCTTCAACACTGTTAGTTGAGGGCGCACATCACAAATAAGATTCTGAGAATGCTTCTATGTAGCTTTTATTGGAAGATATTTCCTTTTTCACCATAGGCCTGAAAGCGCTCCAAATGTCCACATCCAGATACTACAAAAAAAGTGTTTCAAACCTGCTCTATGAAAGGGAATGTTCAACTCTGTGACTTGAATGCAAACATCACAAAGAAGTTACTGGGAATGCTGCTGTCTGCTTTTTATATGTAATCCCGTTTCCAACGAAATCCTCAACGCTAGACAAATATCCACTTCCAGATTCCACAAAAAGAGTGTTTCAAAACTGCTCTCTCAAAAGAAAGGTTCAACTCTGTTAGCTGAGTAGATACATCATGAAAAAGTTTCTGACATTGCTTCTATCTAGCTTTTATTGGAAGATATTTCCTTTATCACCGTATTCCTGAGATCTCTCCAAATGTCCACTTCCAGATACTACAAAAAGAGTGTTTCAAACCTGCTCTATGAAAGGGACTGTTCAACACTGTGACTTCAATTGAAACATCCCAATGAAGCTTCTGAGAATGCTTCTGTCTAGAGTTTATATGAAGACAATCCCGTTTCCAACGAAATCCTCAAAGCTATCCAAATATCCTCTTGCAGATTTTACAAAAAGAGTGTTTCAAAACTGCTCTATCAAAAGAAAGCTTCAACAGTGTTAGTTGAGGGCGCACATCACAAATAAGATTCTGAGAATGCTGCTGTCTGCTTTTTATAATTAATCCCGTTTCCAACGAAATCCTCAAAGCTATCCAAATATCCTCTTGCAGATATTACAAAAAGAGTGTTTCAAAACTGCTCTATCAAAAGAAAGCTCCAACACTGTTAGTTGAGGGCGCACATCACAAATAAGTTTCTGAGAATGCTTCTGTCTAGTTTTCAGGGGAAGATATTTCCTTTTAAACCATAGGCCTGAAAGCGCTCCAAATGTCCACATCCAGATACTACAAAAAGAGTGTTTCAAACCTGCTCTATGAAAGGGACTGTTCAACACTGTGACTTCAATTGAAACATCCCAATGACGCTTCTGAGAATGCTTCTGTCTAGAGTTTATATGAAGACAATCCCGTTTCCAACGAAATCCTCAAAGCTATCCAAATATCCTCTTGCAGATATTACAAAAAGAGTGTTTCAAAACTGCTCTATCAAAAGAAAGCTTCAACACTGTTAGTTGAGGGCGCACATCACAAATAAGTTTCTGAGAATGCTTCTGTCTAGTTTTCAGGGGAAGATATTTCCTTTTTCACCTTAGGCCTGAAAGCGCTCCAAATGTCCACATCCAGATACTACAAAAAGAGTGTTTCAAACCTGCTGTATGAAAGGGAATGTTCAACTCTGTGACTTGAATGCAAACATCACAAAGAAGTTTCTGGGAATGCTGCTGTCTGCTTTTTATATGTAATCCCGTTTCCAACGAAATCCTCAAAGCTAGACAAATATCCACTTGCAGATTCCACAAAAAGAGTGTTTCAAAACTGCTCTCTCAAAAGAAAGGTTCAACTCTGTTAGCTGAGTAGATACATCATGAAAAAGTTTCTGACATTGCTTCTATCTAGCTTTTATTGGAAGATATTTCCTTTATCACCGTATTCCTGAGATCTCTCCAAATGTCCACTTCCAGATACTACAAAAAGAGTGTTTCAAACCTGCTCTATGAAAGGGACTGGTCAACACTGTGACTTCAATTGAAACATCCCAATGAAGCTTCTGAGAATGCTTCTGTCTAGAGTTTATATGAAGACAATCCCGTTTCCAACGAAATCCTCAAAGCTATCCAAATATCCTCTTGCAGATATTACAAAAAGAGTGTTTCAAAACTGCTCTATCAAAAGAAAGGTTCAACACTGTTAGTTGAGGGCGCACATCACAAATAAGTTTACTGAGAATGCTGCTGTCTGCTTTTTATATGTAATCCCGTTTCCAACGAAATCCTCAAAGCTAGACAAATATCCACTTGCAGATTCCACAAAAAGAGTGTTTCAAAACTGCTCTATCAAAAGAAAGCTTCAACACTGTTAGTTGAGGGCGCACATCACAAATAAGTTTCTGAGAATGCTTCTGTCTAGTTTTCAGGGGAAGATATTTCCTTTTAAACCATAGGCTTAAAGCGCTCCAAATGTCCACATCCAGATACTACAAAAAGAGTGTTTCAAACCTGCTCTATGAAAGGGACTGTTCAACACTGTGACTTCAATTGAAACATCCCAATGACGCTTCTGAGAATGCTTCTGTCTAGAGTTTATATGAAGACAATCCCGTTTCCAACGAAATCCTCAAAGCTATCCAAATATATTTTTGCAGATTTTACAAAAAGAGTGTTTCAAAACTGCTCTATCAACAGAAAGTTTCAACACTGTTAGTTGAGGGCGCACATCACAAATAAGTTTCTGAGTATGCTTCTGTCTAGTTTTCAGGGGAAGATATTTCCTTTTTCACCATAGGCCTGAAAGCGCTCCAAATGTCCACATCCAGATACTACAAAAAGAGTGTTTCAAACCTGCTCTGTGAAAAGGAATGTTCAACTCTGTGACTTGAATGCAAACATCAAAAAACAGTTTCTGTGAATGCTGCTGTCTGCTTTTGATATGTAATCCCGTTTCCAACGAAATCCTCAAAGCTAGACAAATATCCACTTGCAGATTCCACAAAAAGAGTGTTTCAAAACTGCTCTCTCAAAAGAAAGGTTCAACTCTTTTAGCTGTGTAGATACATCATGAAAAAGTTTCTGACATTGCTTCTATGTAGCTTTTATTGGAAGATATTTCCTTTTTCACCATAGGCCTGAAAGCGCTCCAAATGTCCACATCCAGATACTACAAAAAGAGTGTTTCAAACCTGCTCTATGAAAGGGAATGTTCAACACTGCGACTTCAATTGAAACATCCCAATGACGCTTCTGAGAATGCTTCTGTCTAGATTCTATATGAAGACAATCCCGTTTCCAACGAAATCCTCAAAGCTATCCAAATATCCTCTTGCAGATTTTACAAAAAGAGTGTTTCAAAACTGCTCTATCAAAAGAAAAGTTCCACACTGTTAGTTGAGGGCGCACATCACAAATAAGTTTGCTGAGAATGCTGCTGTCTGCTTTTTATATGTAATCCCGTTTCCAACGAAATCCTCAAAGCTAGTACAAATATCCACGTGCAGATTCCACAAAAAGAGTGTTTCAAAACTGCTCTATCAAGAGAAAGCTTCAACACTGTTAGTTGAGGGCGCACATCACAAATAAGTTTCTGAGAATGCTTCTGTCTAGTTTTCAGGGGAAGATATTTCCTTTTTCACCATAGGCCTGAAAGCGCTCCAAATGTCCACATCCAGATACTACAAAAAGAGTGTTTCAAACCTGCTCTATGAAAGGGACTGTTCAACACTGTGACTTCAATTGAAACATCCCAATGAAGCTTCTGAGAATGCTTCTGTCTAGAGTTTATATGAAGACAATCCCGTTTCCAACGAAATCCTCAAAGCTATCAAAATATCCTCTTGCAGATTTTACGAAAAGAATGTTTCAAAACTGCTCTATCAAAAGAAAGCTTCAACACTGTTAGTTGAGGGCGCACATCACAAATAAGATTCTGAGAATGCTTCTATGTAGCTTTTATTGGAAGATATTTCCTTTTTCACCATAGGCCTGAAAGCGCTCCAAATGTCCACATCCAGATACTACAAAAAGAGTGTTTCAAACCTGCTCTATGAAAGGGAATGTTCAACTCTGTCACTTGAATGCAAACCTCACAAAGAAGTTACTGGGAATGCTGCTGTCTGCTTTTTATATGTAATCCCGTTTCCAACGAAATCCTCAAAGCTAGACAAATATCCACTTGCAGATTCCACAAAAAGAGTGTTTCAAAACTGCTCTCTCAAAAGAAAGGTTCAACTCTGTTAGCTGAGTAGATACATCATGAAAAAGTTTCTGACATTGCTTCTATCTAGCTTTTATTGGAAGATATTTCCTTTATCACCGTATTCCTGAGATCTCTCCAAATGTCCACTTCCAGATACAACAAAAAGAGTGTTTCAAACCTGCTCTATGAAAGGGACTGTTCAACACTGTGACTTCAATTGAAACATCCCAATGAAGCTTCTGAGAATGCTTCTGTCTAGATTCTATATGAAGACAATCCCGTTTCCAACGAAATCCTCAAAGCTATCCAAATATCCTCTTGCAGATTTTACAAAAAGAGTGTTTCAAAACTGCTCTATCAAAAGAAAAGTTCCACACTGTTAGTTGAGGGCGCACATCACAAATAAGTTTGCTGAGAATGCTGCTGTCTGCTTTTTATATGTAATCCCGTTTCCAACGAAATCCTCAAAGCTAGACAAATATCCACTTGCAGATTCCACAAAAAGAGTGTTTCAAAACTGCTCTATCAAAAGAAGGCTTCAACACTGTTAGTTGAGGGCGCACATCACAAATAAGTTTCTGAGAATGCTTCTGTCTAGTTTTCAGGGGAAGATATTTCCTTTTTCACCATAGGCCTGAAAGCGCTCCAAATGTCCACATCCAGATACTACAAAAAGAGTGTTTCAAACCTGCTCTATGAAAGGGACTGTTCAACACTGTGACTTCAATTGAAACATCCCAATGAAGCATCTGAGAATGCTTCTGTCTAGAGTTTATATGAAGACAATCTCGTTTCCAACGAAATCCTCAAAGCTATCCAAATATCCTCTTGCAGATATTACAAAAAGAGTGTTTCAAAACTGCTCTATCAAAAGAAAGCTTCAACACTGTTAGTTGAGGGCGCACATCACAAATAAGTTTCTGAGAATGCTTCTGTCTAGTTTTCAGGGGAAGATATTTCCTTTTTCACCATAGGCCTGAAAGCGCTCCAAATGTCCACATCCAGATACTACAAAAAGAGTGTTTCAAACCTGCTCTATGAAAGGGAATGTTCAACTCTGTGACTTGAATGCAAACATCACAAAGAAGTTTCTGGGAATGCTGCTGTCTGCTTTTTATATGTAATCCCGTTTCCAACAAAATCCTCAAAGCTAGACAAATATCCACTTGCAGATTCCACAAAAAGAGTGTTTCAAAACGGCTCTCTCAAAAGAAAGGTTCAACTCTGTTAGCTGAGTAGATACATCATGAAAAATTTTCTGACATTCCTTCTATCTAGCTTTTATTGGAAGATATTTCCTTTTTCACCGTAGTCCTGAGAACGCTCCAAATGTCCACTTCCAGATACTACAAAAAGAGTGTTTCAAACCTGCTCTATGAAAGGGACTGTTCAACACTGTGACTTCAATTGAAACATCCCAATGAAGCTTCTGAGAATGCTTCTGTCTAGATTTTATATGAAGACAATCCCGTTTCCAACGAAATCCTCAAATCTATGCAAATATCCTCTTGCAGATTTTACAAAAAGAGTGTTTCAAAACTGCTCTATCAAAAGAAAGGTTCAACACTGTTAGTTGAGGGCACACATCACAAATAAGTTTCTGAGAATGCTGCTGTCTGCTTTTTATATGTAATCCCGTTTCCAACGAAATCCTCAAAGCTAGACAAATATCAACTTGCAGATTCCACAAAAAGAGTGTTTCAAAACTGCTCTATCAAAAGAATGCTTCAACAATGTTAGTTGAGGGCGCACATCACAAATAAGTTTCTGAGAATGCTTCTGTCTAGTTTTCAGGGGAAGATATTTCCTTTTAAACCATAGGCCTGAAAGCGCTCCAAATGTCCACATCCAGATACTACAAAAAGAGTGTTTCACACCTGCTCTATGAAAGGGACTGTTCAACACTGTGACTTCAATTGAAACATCCCAATGACGCTTCTGAGAATGCTACTGTCTAGGGTTAATATGAAGACAATCCCGTTTCCAACGAAATCCTCAAACCTATCCAAATATCCTCTTGCAGATTTTACAAAAAGAATGTTTCAAAACTGCTCTATCAAAACAAAGCTTCAACACTGTTAGTTGAGGGCGCACATCACAAATAAGTTTCTGAGAATACTTCTGTCTAGTTTTCAGGGGTTAGATATTTCCTTTTTCACCATAGGCCTGAAAGCGCTCCAAATGTCCACATCCAGATACTACAAAAAGAGTGTTTCAAACCTGCTCTATGAAAGGGAATGTTCAACTCTGTGACTTGAATGCAAACATCACAAACAAGTTACTGGGAATGCTGCTGTCTGCTTTTTATATGTAATCCCGTTTCCAAAGAAATCCTCAAAGCTAGACAAATATCCACTTGCAGATTCCACAAAAAGAGTGTTTCAAAACTGCTCTCTCAAAGGAAAGGTTCAACTCTGTTAGCTGAGTAGATACATCATGAAAAAGTTTCTGACATTGCTTTCTATCTAGCTTTTATTGGAAGATATTTCCTTTTTCACCGTAGTCCTCAGAACGCTCCAAATGTCCACTTCCAGATACTACAAAAAGAGTGTTTCAAGCCTGCTCTATGAAAGGGACTGTTCAACACTGTGACTTCAATTGAAACATCCCAATGAAGCTTCTGAGAATGCTTCTTTCTAGAGTTTATATGAAGACAATCC
Source organism: Homo sapiens (assembly GCF_000001405.40). Taxonomy (NCBI): domain Eukaryota; kingdom Metazoa; phylum Chordata; class Mammalia; order Primates; family Hominidae; genus Homo; species Homo sapiens. The sequence goes on along the minus strand of NC_000002.12, from coordinate 92,946,691 downwards.
CGTTTCCAACGAAATCCTCAAAGCTATCCAAATATTCTCTTGCAGATATTACAAAAAGAGTGTTTCAAAACTGCTCTATCAAAATAAAGCTTCAACACTGTTAGTTGAGGGCGCACATCACAAATAAGTTTCTGAGAATGCTGCTGTCTGCTTTTTATATATAATCCCGTTTCCAACGAAATCCTCAAAGATAGACAAATATCCACTTGCAGATTCCACAAAAAGAGTGTTTCAAAACTGCTCTATCAAAGGAATGCTTCAACACTGTTAGTTGAGGGCGCACATCACAAATAAGTTTCTGAGAATGCTTCTATCTAGCTTTTATTGGAAGATATTTCCTTTTTCACCGTAGTCCTGAGAAAGCTCCAAATGTCCACTTCCAGATACTACAAAAAGAGTGTTTCAAACCTGCTCTATGAAAGGGACTGTTCAACACTGTGACTTCAATTGAAACATCCCAATGAAGCTTCTGAGAATGCTTCTGTCTGGAGTTTATATGAAGACAATCCCGTTTCCAACGAAATCCTCAAAGCTATCCAAATATCCTCTTGCAGATTTTACAAAAAGAGTGTTTCAAAACTGCTCTATCAAAAGAAAGCTTCAACACTGTTAGTTGAGGGCGCACATCACAAATAAGATTCTGAGAATGCTTCTGTCTAGTTTTCAGGAGAAGATATTTCCCTTTTTCACCATAGGCCTGAAAGCGCTCCAAATGTCCACATCCAGATACTACAAAAAGAGTGTTTCTAACCTGCTCTATGAAAGGGAATGTTCAACTCTGTGACTTGAATGCAAACATCACAAAGAAGATTCTGGGAATGCTGCTGTCTGCTTTTTATATGTAATCCCGTTTCCAACGAAATCCTCAAAGCTAGACAAATATCCACTTGCAGATTCCACAAAAAGAGTGTTTCAAAACTGCTCTCTCAAAAGAAAGGTTCAACTCTGTTAGCTGAGTAGATACATCATGAAAAAGTTTCTGACATTGCTTCTATGTAGCTTTTATTGTAAGATATTTCCATTTTCACCGTAGTCCTGAGAGCGCTCCAAATGTCCACTTCCAGATACTACAAAAAGAGTGTTTCAAACCTGTTCTATGAAAGGAACTGTTCAACACTGTGACTTCAATTGAAACATCCCAATGAAGCTTCTGAGAATGCTTCTGTCTAGAGTTTATATGAAGACAATCCCGTTTCCAACGAAATCCTCAAAGCTATCCAAATATCCTCTTGCAGATATTACAAAAAGAGTGTTTCAAAACTGCTCTATCAAAAGAAAGGTTCAACACTGTTAGTTGAGGGCGCACATCACAAATAAGTTTACTGAGAATGCTGCTGTCTGCTTTTTATATGTAATCCCGTTTCCAACGAAATCCTCAAAGCTATCCAAATATCCTCTTGCAGATATTACAAAAAGAGTGTTTCAAAACTGCTCTATCAAAAGAAAGGTTCAACACTGTTAGTTGAGGGCGCACATCACAAGTAAGTTTCTGAGAACGCTTCTGTCTAGTTTTCAGGGGAAGATATTTCCTTTTAAACCATAGGCCTGAAATCGCTCCAAATGTCCACATCCAGATACTACAAAAAGAGTGTTTCAAACCTGCTCTATGAAAGGGACTGTTCAACACTGTGACTTCAATTGAAACATCCCAATGAAGCTTCTGAGAATGCTTCTGTCTAGAGTTTATTTGAAGACAATCCCGTTTCCAATGAAATCCTCAAAGCTATGCAAATATCCTCTTGCAGATTTTACAAAAAGAGTGTTTCAAATCTGCTCTATCAAAAGAAAGCTTCAACACTGTTAGTTGAGGGCGCACATCACAAATAAGTTTCTGAGAATGCTTCTGTCTAGTTTTCAGGGGAAGATATTTCCTTTTTCACCTTAGGCCTGAAAGCGCTGCAAATGTCCACATCCAGATACTACAAAAAGAGTGTTTCAAACCTGCTCTATGAAAGGGAATGTTAAACTCTGTGACTTGAATGCAAACAACACAAAGAAGTTTCTGGGAATGCTGCTGTCTGCTTTTTATATGTAATCCCGTTTCCAGCGAAATCCTCAAAGCTAGACAAATATCCACTTGCAGATTCCACAAAAAGAGTGTTTCAAAACTGCTCTCTCAAAGGAAGGTTCAACTCTGTTAGCTGAGTAGATACATCATGAAAAAGTTTCTGACATTGCTTCTATCTAGCTTTTATTGGAAGATATTTCCTTTTTCACCGCAGTCCTGAGAGTGCTCCAAATGTTCACTTCCAGATACTACAAAAAGAGTGTTTCAAACCTGTTCTATGAAAGGAACTGTTCAACACTGTGACTTCAATTGAAACATCCCAATGAAGCTTCTGAGAATGCTTCTGTCTAGAGTTTATATGAAGACAATCCCGTTTCCAACGAAATCCTCAAAGCTATCCAAATATCCTCTTGCAGATATTGCAAAAAGAGTGTTTCAAAACTGCTCTATCAAAAGAAAGGTTCAACACTGTTAGTTGAGGGCGCACATCACAAATAAGTTTCTGAGAATGCTGCTGTCTGCTTTTTATATGTAATCCCGTTTCCAACGAAATCCTCAAAGCTAGACAAATATCCACTTGCAGATTCCACAAAAAGAGTGTTTCAAAACTGCTCTATCAAAAGAATGCTTCAACACTGTTAGTTGAGGGCGCACATCACAAATAAGTTTCTGAGAATGCTTCTGTCTAGTTTTCAGGGGAAGATATTTCCTTTTAAACCATAGGCCTGAAAGCGCTCCAAATGTCCACATCCAGATACTACAAAAAGAGTGTTTCAAACCTGCTCTATGAAAGGGACTGTTCAACACTGTGACTTCAATTGAAACATCCCAATGAAGCTTCTGAGAATGCTTCTGTCTAGATTTTATATGAAGACAATCCCGTTTCCAACGAAATCCTCAAAGCTATCCAAATATCCTCTTGCAGATTTTGCACAAACAGTGTTTCAAAACTACTCTATCAAAAGAAAGGTTTAACACTGTTAGTTGAGGGCGCACATCACAAATAAGTTTCTGAGAATGCTTCTGTCTAGTTTTCAGGAGAAGATATTTCCTTTTTCACCATAGGCCTGAAAGCGCTCCAAATGTCCACATCGAGATACTACAAAAAGAGTGTTTCAAACCTGCTCTATGAAAGGGAATGTTCAACTCTGTGACTTGAATGCAAACATCACAAAGAAGTTTCTGGGAATGCTGCTGTCTGCTTTTTATATGTAATCCGGTTTCCAACGAAATCCTCAAAGCTAAGCAAATATCCACTTGCAGATTCCACAAAAAGAGTGTTTCAAAACTGCTCTCTCAAAGGAAAGGTTCAACTCTGTTAGCTGAGTAGACACATCATGAAAAAGTTTCTGACATTGCTTCTATGTAGCTTTTATTGGAAGATATTTCCTTTTTCACCATAGTCCTGAGAGCGCTCCAAATGTCCACTTCCAGATACTACAAAAAGAGTGTTTCAAACCTGTTCTATGAAAGGAACTGTTCAACACTGTGACTTCAATTGAAACATCCCAATGAAGCTTCTGAGAATGCTTCTTTCTAGAGTTTATATGAAGACAATCCCGTTTCCAACGAAATCCTCAAAGCTATCCAAATATTCTCTTGCAGATATTACAAAAAGAGTGTTTCAAAACTGCTCTATCAAAAGAAAGCTTCAACACTGTTAGTTGAGGGCGCACATCACAAATAAGTTTGCTGAGAATGCTTGCTGTCTGCTTTTTATATGTAATCCCGTTTCCAACGAAATCCTCAAAGCTAGACAAATATCCACTTGCAGATTCCACAAAAAAAGTGTTTCAAAACTGCTCTATCAAAAGAAAGCTTCAACACTGTTAGTTGAGGGCGCACATCACAAATAAGTTTCTGAGAATGCTTCTGTCTAGTTTTCAGGGGAAGATATTTCCTTTTTCACCATAGGCCTGAAAGCGCTCGAAATGTCCACATCCACATACTACAAAAAGAGTGTTTCAAACCTGCTCTATGAAAGGGACTGTTCAACACTGTGACTTCAATTGAAACATCCCAATGAAGCTTCTGAGAATGCTTCTGTCTAGATTTTAGATGAAGACAATCCCGTTTCCAACGAAATCCTCAAAGCTATCCAAATATCCTCTTGCAGATTTTACAAAAAGAGTGTTTCAAAACTACTCTATCAATAGAAAGGTTTAACACTGTTAGTTGTGGGAGCACATCACAAATAAGTTTCTGAGAATGCTTCTGTCTAGCTTTCAGGGGAAGATATTTCCTTTTTCACCATAGGCCTGAAAGCGCTCCAAATGTCCACATCCAGATACTACAAAAAGAGTGTTTCAAACCTGCTCTATGAAAGGGAATGTTCAAGTCTGTGACTTGAATGCAAATATCACCAAGAAGTTTGTGAGAATGCTGCTGTCTGCTTTTTATATGTAATCCCGTTTCATACGCAATCCTCAAACCTAGACAAATATCCACTTGCAGATTCCACACAAAGAGTGTTTCAAAACGGTTCTCTCAAAAGAAAGGTTCAACTCTGTTAGCTGAGTAGATACATCTTGAAAAATTTTCTGACATTTCTTCTATCTAGCTTTTATTGGAAGATATTTCCTTTTTCACCGTAGTCCTGAGAACGCTCCAAATGTCCACTTCCAGATACTACAAAAAGAGTGTTTCAAACCTGCTCTATGAAAGGGACTGTTCAACACTGTGACTTCAATTTAAACATCCCAATGAAGCTTCTGAGAATGCTTTTGTCTAGATTTTAGATGAAGACAATCCCGTTTCCAACGAAATCCTCAAAGCTATGCAAATATCCTCTTGCAGATTTTACAAAAAGAGTGTTTCAAAACTGCTCTATCAAAAGAAAGCTTCAACATTGTTAGTTGAGGGCGCACATCACAAATAAGTTTCTGAGAATGCTTCTGTCTAGTTTGCAGGGGAAGATATTTCCTTTTTCACCATAGGCCTGAGAGCGCTCCAAATGTCCACATCCAGATACTACAAAAAGAGTGTTTCAAACCTGCTCTATGAAAGGGAATGTTCAACTCTGTGACTTGAATGCAAACATCACAAAGAAGTTTCTGGGAATGCTGCTGTCTGTTTTTTATATGTAATCCCGTTTCCAACGAAATCCTCAAACCTAGACAAATATCCACCTGCAGATCGAACAAAAAGAGTGTTTCAAAACTGCTCTCTCAAAAAAAAGGTTCAACTCTGTTAGCTGAGTAGATACATCATGAAAAAGTTTCTGACATTGCTTCTATCTAGCTTTTATTGGAAGATATTTCCTTTTTCACCGCAGTCCTGAGAGCGTTCCAAATGTCCACTTCCAGATACTACAAAAAGAGTGTTTCAAACCTGCTCTATGAAAGGGACTGTTCAACACTGTGACTTCAATTGAAACATCCCAATGAAGCTTCTGAGAATGCTTCTGCCTAGAGTTTATATGAAGACAATCCCGTTTCCAACGAAATCCTCAAAGCTATCCAAATATCCTCTTGCAGATATTACAAAAAGAGTGTTTCAAAACTGCTCTATCAAAAGAAAGCTTCAACACTGTTAGTTGAGGGCGCACATCACAAATAAGTTTCTGAGAATGCTTCTGTCTAGTTTTCAGGGGAAGATATTTCCTTTTTCACCATAGGCCTGAAAGCGCTCCAAATGTCCACATCCAGATACTACAAAAAGAGTGTTTCAAACCTGCTCTATGAAAGGGAATGTTCAACCCTGTGACTTGAATGCAAACATCACAAAGAAGTTTCTGGGAATGCTGCTGTCTGCTTTTTATATGTAATCCCGTTTCCAACGAAATCCTCAAAGCTAGACAAATATCCACTTGCAGATTCCACAAAAAGAGTGTTTCAAAACTGCTCTCTCAAAAGAAAAGTTCAACTCTGTTAGCTGAGTAGATACATCATGAACAATTTTCTGACATTGCTTCTATCTAGCTTTTATTGGAAAATATTTCCTTTTTCACCATCGTCCTGAGAGCGCTCCAAATGTCCATTTCCAGGTACTACAAAAAGAGTGTTTCAAACCTGTTCTATGAAAGGGACTGTTCAACACTGTGACTTCAATTGAAACATCCCAATGAAGCTTCTGAGAATGCTGCTGTCTGCTTTGTATAATTAATCCCGTTTCCAACGAAATCCTCAAAGCTATCCAAATATCCTCTTGCAGATATTACAAAAAGAGTGTTTCAAAACTGCTCTATCAAAAGAAAGCTTCAACACTGTTAGTTGAGGGCGCACATCACAAATAAGTTTCTGAGAATGCTGCTGTCTGCTTTTTATATGTAATCCCGTTTCCAACGAAATCCTCAAAGCTAGACAAATATCCACTTGCAGATTCCACAAAAAGAGTGTTTCAAAACTGCTCTATCAAAAGAATGCTTCAACACTGTTAGTTGAGTGGGCACATCACAAATAAGTTTCTGAGAATGCTTCTGTCTAGTTTTCAGGGGAAGATATTTCCTTTTAAACCAAAGGCCTGCAAACGCTCTAAATGTCCACATCCAGATACTACAAAAAGAGTGTTTCAAACCTGCTCTATGAAAGGGACTGTTCAACACTGTGACTTCAATTGAAACATCCCAATGAAGCTTCTGAGAATTCTTCTGTCTAGAGTTTACATGAAGACAATCCCGTTTCCAACGAAATCCTCAAAGCTATCCAAATATCCTCTTGCAGATTTTACAAAAAGAGTGTTTCAAAACTGCTCTATCAAAAGAAAGCTTCAACACTGTTAGTTGAGGGCGGACATCACAAATAAGATTCTGAGAATTCTTCTGTCTAGTTTTCAGGGGAAGATATTTCCTTTTTCACCATACGCCTGAAAGCGCTCCAAATGTCCACATACAGATACTACAAAAAGAGTGTTTCAAACCTGCTCTATGAAAGGGAATGTTCAACTCTGTGACTTGAGTGCAAACATCACAAAGAAGTTTCTGGGAATGCTGCTGTCTGCTTTTTATATGTAATCCCGTTTCCAACGAAATCCTCAAAGCTAGACAAATATCCACTTGCAGATTCCACAAAAAGAGTGTTTCAAAACTGCTCTCTCAAAAGAAAGGTTCAACTCTGTTAGCTGAGTAGATACATCATGAAAAAGTTTCTGACATTGCTTCTATCTAGCTTTTATTGGAAGATATTTCCTTTATCACCGTAGTCCTGAGAGCGCTCCAAATGTCCACTTCCAGATACTACAAAAAGAGTGTTTCAAACCTGCTCTATGAAAGGGACTGTTCAACACTGTGACTTCAATTGAAACATCCCAATGAAGCTTCTGAGAATGCTTCTGTCTAGAGTTTATATGAAGACAATCCCGTTTCCAACGAAATCCTCAAAGCTATCAAAATATCCTCTTGCAGATTTTACGAAAAGAGTGTTTCAAAACTGCTCTATCAAAAGAAAGCTTCAACACTGTTAGTTGAGGGCGCACATCACAAATAAGATTCTGAGAATCCTTCTGTCTAGTTTTCAGGGGAAGATATTTCCTTTTTCACCATAGGCCTGAAAGCGCTCCAAATGTCCACATACAGATACTACAAAAAGAGTGTTTCAAACCTGCTCTATGAAAGGGAATGTTCAACTCTGTGACTTCAATGCAAACTTCACAAAGAAGTTTCTGGGAATGCTGCTGTCTGCTTTTTATATGTAATCCCGTTTCAAACGAAATCCTCAAAGCTAGACAAATATCCACTTGCAGATTCCACAAAAAGAGTGTTTCAAAACTGCTCTCTCAAAAGAAAGGTTCAACTCTGTTAGCTGAGTAGATACGTCATGAAAAAGTTTCTGACATTGCTTCTATCTAGCTTTTATTGGAAGATATTTCCTTTATCACCGTATTCCTGAGATCTCTCCAAATGTCCACTTCCAGATACTACAAAAAGAGTGTTTCAAACCTGCTCTATGAAAGGGACTGTTCAACACTGTGACTTCAATTGAAACATCCCAATGAAGCTTCTGAGAATGCTTCTGTCTAGAGTTTATATGAAGACAATCCCGTTTCCAAAGAAATCCTCAAAGCTATCCAAATATCCTATTGCAGATTTTACAAAAAGAGTGTTTCAAAACTGCTCTATCAAAAGAAAGCTTCAACACTGTTAGTTGAGGGCGCACATCACAAATAAGATTCTGAGAATGCTGCTGTCTGCTTTTTATATGTAATCCCGTTTCCAACGAAATCCTCAAAGCTAGACAAATATCCACGTGCAGATTCCACAAAAAGAGTGTTTCAAAACTGCTCTATCAAGAGAAAGCTTCAACACTGTTAGTTGAGGGCGCACATCACAAATAAGTTTCTGAGAATGCTTCTGTCTAGTTTTCAGGGGAAGATATTTCCTTTTAAACCATAGGCCTGAAAGCGCTCCAAATGTCCACATCCAGATACTACAAAAAGAGTGTTTCAAACCTGCTCTATGAAAGGGACTGTTCAACACTGTGACTTCAATTGAAACATCCCAATGAAGCTTCTGAGAATGCTTCTGTCTAGAGTTTATATGAAGACAATCCCGTTTCCAACGAAATCCTCAAAGCTATCAAAATATCCTCTTGCAGATTTTACGAAAAGAGTGTTTCAAAACTGCTCTATCAAAAGAAAGCTTCAACACTGTTAGTTGAGGGCGCACATCACAAATAAGTTTCTGAGAATGCTTCTGTCTAGTTTTCAGGGGAAGATATTTCCTTTTTCACCATAGGCCTGAAAGCGCTCCAAATGTCCACATCCAGATACTACAAAAAGAGTGTTTCAAACCTGCTCTATGAAACGGACTGTTCAAGTCTGTGACTTCAATGCAAATATCACAAAGAAGTTTCTGGGAATGCTGCTGTCTGTTTTTATATGTAATCCCGTTTCCAACGAAATCCTCAAACCTAGACAAATATCCACTTGCAGATTCCACAAAAATAGTGTTTCAAAACTGCTCGCACAAAAGAAAGTTTCAACTCTTTTAGCTGAGTAGATACATCATGAAAAAGTTTGTGACATTGCTTCTATCTAGCTTTTATTGGAAGATATTTCCTTTATCACCGTAGTCCTGAGAGCGCTCCAAATGTCCACTTCCAGATACTACAAAAAGAGTGTTTCAAACCTGCTCTATGAAAGGGACTGTTCAACACTGTGACTTCAATTGAAACATCCCAATGAAGCTTCTGAGAATGCTTCTGTCTAGAGTTTATATGAAGACAATCCCGTTTCCAACGAAATCCTCAAATCTATCCAAATATCCTCTTGCAGATATTACAAAAAGAGTGTTTCAAAACTTCTCTATCAAAAGAAAGGTTCAACAGTGTTAGTTGAGGGCGCACATCACAAATAAGTTTCTGAGAATGCTGCTGTCTGCTTTTTATATGTAATCCCGTTTCCAACGAAATCCTCAAAGCTAGACAAATATCCACGTGCAGATTCCACAAAAAGAGTGTTTCAAAACTGCTCTATCAAGAGAAAGCTTCAACACTGTTAGTTGAGGGCGCACATCACAAATAAGTTTCTGAGAATGCTTCTGTCTAGTTTTCAGGGGAAGATATTTCCTTTTTCACCATAGGCCTGAAAGCGCTCGAAATGTCCACATCCAGATACTACAAAAAGAGTGTTTCAAACCTGCTCTATGAAAGGGACTGTTCAACACTGTGACTTCAATTGAAACATCCCCAATGAAGCTTCTGAGAATGCTTCTGTCTAGAGTTTATATGAAGACAATCCCGTTTCCAAAGAAATCCTCAAAGCTATCCAAATATCCTCTTGCAGATTTTACAAAAAGAGTGTTTCAGAACTGCTCTATCAAAAGAAAGCTTCAACACTGTTAGTTGAGGGCGCACATCACAAATAAAATTCTGAGAATGCTTCTGTCTAGTTTTCAGGGGAAGATATTTCCTTTTTCACCATAGGCCTGAAAGCGCTCCAAATGTCCACATCCAGATACTACAAAAAGAGTGTTTCAAACCTGCTCTATGAAAGGGAATGTTCAACTCTGTGACTTGAATGCAAACATCACAAAGAAGTTTCTGGGAATGCTGCTGTCTTCTTTTTATATGTAATCCCGTTTCCAACGAAATCCTGAAAGCTAGACAAATATCCACCTATAGATTCCTCAAAAAGCGTGTTTCAAAACTGCTCTCTCAAACAAAATGTTCAACTCTGTTAGCTGAGTAGATACATCATGAAAAAGTTTCTGACATTGCTTCTATCTAGCTTTTATTGGAAGATATTTCCTTTTTCACCGTAGTCCTGAGAGCGCTGCAAATGTCCACTTCCAGATGCTACAAAAAGAGTGTTTCAAACCTGCTCTATGAAAGGGACTGTTCAACACTGTGACTTCAGTTGAAACATCCCAATGAAGCTTCTGAGAATGCTTCTGTCTAGTTTTCAGGGGAAGATATTTCGTTTTTCACCATAGGCCTGAAAGCGCTCCAAATGTCCACATCCAGATACTACAAAAAGAGTGTTTCAAACCTGCTATATGAAAGGGAATGTTCAACTCTGTGACTTGAATGCAAACATCACAAAGAAGTTTCTGGGAATGCTGCTGTCTGCTTTTTATATGTAATCCCGTTTCCAACGAAATCCTCAAAGCTAGACAAATATCCACTTGCAGATTCCACAAAAAGAGTGTTTCAAAACTGCTCTATCAAAAGAAAGCTTCAACACTGTTAGTTGAGGGCGCACATCACAAATAAGTTTCTGAGAATGCTTCTGTCTAGTTTTCAGGGGAAGATATTTCCTTTTAAACCATAGGCCTGGAAGCGCTCCAAATGTCCACATCCAGATACTACAAAAAGAGTGTTTCAAACCTGCTCTATGAAAGGGACTGTTCAACACTGTGACTTCAATTGAAACATCCCAATGAAGCTTCTGAGAATGCTACTGTCTAGAGTTTATATGAAGACAATCCCGTTTCCAACGAAATCCTCAAAGCTATCCAAATATCCTCTTGCAGATTTTACAAAAAGAGTGTTTCAAAACTACTCTATCAAAAGAAAGGTTTAACACTGTTAGTTGAGGGCGCACATCACAAATAAGTTTCTGAGAATGCTTCTGTCTAGTTTTCAGGGGAAGATATTTCCTTTTTCACCATAGGCCTGAAAGCGCTCCAAATGTCCACATCCAGATACTACAAAAAGAGTGTTTCAAACCTGCTCTATGAAAGGGAATGTTCAACTCTGTGACTTGAATGCAAACATCACAAAGAAGATTCTGGGAATGCTGCTGTCTGCTTTTTATATGTAATCCCGTTTCCAACGAAATCCTCAAAGCTAGACAAATATCCACTTGCAGATTCCACAAAACGAGTGTTTCAAAACTGCTCTCTCAAATGAAGGTTCAACTCTGTTAGCTGAGTAGACACATCATGAAAAAGATTCTGACATTGCTTCTATCTAGCTTTTATTGGAAGATACTTCCTTTTCCACCGTAGTCCTGAGAGCGCTCCAAAGGTCCACTTCCAGATACTACAAAGAGTGTTTCAAACCTGCTCTATGAAAGGGACTGTTCAACACTGTGACTTCAATTGAAACATCCCAATGAAGCTTCTGAGAATGCTTCTGTCTAGAGTTTATATGAAGACAATCCCGTTTCCAACGAAATCCTCAAAGCTATCCAAATATCCTCTTGCAGATTTTACAAAAAGAGTGTTTCAAAACTGCTCTATCAAAAGAAAGCTTCAACACTGTTAGTTGAGGGCGCACATCACAAATAAGATTCTGAGAATGCTTCTGTCTAGTTTTCAGGGGAAGATATTTCCTTTTTCACCATAGGCCTGAAAGCGCTCCAAATGTCCACATCCAGATACTACAAAAAGAGTGTTTCAAACCTGCTCTATGAAAGGGAATGTTCAACTCTGTGACTTGAATGCTAACTTCACAAAGAAGTTTCTGGGAATGCTGCTGTCTGCTTTTTATATGTAATCCCGTTTCCAACGAAATCCTCAAAGCTAGACAAATATCCACTTGCAGATTCCACAAAAAGAGTGTTTCAAAACTGCTCTCTCAAAAGAAAGGTTCAACTCTGTTAGCTGAGTAGATACATCATGAAAAAGTTTCTGACATTGCTTCTATCTAGCTTTTATTGGAAGATACTTCCTTTTTCACCGTAGTCCTGAGAGCGCTCCAAATGTCCACTTCCAGATACTACAAAAAGAGTGTTTCAAACCTGCTCTATGAAAGGGACTGTTCAACACTGTGACTTCAATTGAAACATCCCAATGAAGCTTCTGAGAATGCTTCTTTCTAGAGTTTATATGAAGACAATCCCGTTTCCAACGAAATCCTCAAAGCTATCCAAATATTCTCTTGCAGATATTACAAAAAGAGTGTTTCAAAACTGCTCTATCAAAATAAAGCTTCAACACTGTTAGTTGAGGGCGCACATCACAAATAAGTTTCTGAGAATGCTGCTGTCTGCTTTTTATATGTAATCCCGTTTCCAACGAAATCCTCAAAGCTAGACAAATATCCACTTGCAGATTCCACAAAAAGAGTTTTTCAAAACTGCTCTATCAAAAGAAAGCTTCAACACTGTTAGTTGAGGGCGCACATCACAAATAAGTTTCTGAGAATGCTTCTGTCTAGTTTTCAGGGGAAGATATTTCCTTTTTCACCATAGGCCTGAAAGCGCTCCAAATGTCCACATCCGGATACTACAAAAAGAGTGTTTCAAACCTGCTCTATGAAAGGGACTGTTCAACACTGTGACTTCAATTGAAACATCCCAATGAAGCTTCTGAGAATACTTCTGTCTAGAGTTTATATGAAGACAATCCCGTTTCCAACGAAATCCTCAAAGCTATCCAAATATCCTCTTGCAGATATTACAAAAAGAGTGTTTCAAAACTGCTCTATCAAAAGAAAGGTTAAACACTGTTAGTTGAGGGCGCTCATCACAAATAAGATTCTGAGAATGCTTCTGTCTAGTTTTCAGGGGAAGATATTTCCTTTTTCACCATAGGCCTGAAAGTGCTCCAAATGTCCACATCCAGATACTACAAAAAGAGTGTTTCAAACCTGCTCTATGAAAGGGAATGTTCAACTCTGTGACTTCAATGCAAACATCACAAAGAAGATTCTGGGAATGCTGCTATCTGATTTTATATGTAATCCCGTTTCCAACGAAATCCTCAAAGCTAGACAAATATCCACTTGCAGTTTCCACAAAAATAGTGTTTCACAACTGCTCTCTCAAAAGAAAGGTTCAACTCTTTTAGCTGAGTAGATACATCATGAAAAAGTTTCTGATATTGCTTCTATCTAGCTTTTATTGGAAGATATTTCCTTTTTCACCGTAGTCCTGAGAACGCTCCAAATGTCCACTTCCAGATGCTACAAAAAAAGTGTTTCAAACCTGCTCTATGAAAGGGACTGTTCAACACTGTGACTTCAATTGAAACATCCCAATGAAGCTTCTGAGAATGCTGCTGTCTGCTTTGTATAATTAATCCCGTTTCCAACGAAATCCTCAAAGCTATCCAAATATCCTCTTGCAGATATTACAAAAAGAGTGTTTCAAAACTGCTCTATCAAAAGAAAGCTTCAACACTGTTAGTTGAGGGCGCACATCACAAATAAGTTTCTGAGAATGCTGCTGTCTGCTTTTTATATGTAATTCCTTTTCCAACGAAATCCTCAAAGCTAGACAAATATCCACTTGCAGATTCCACAAAAAGAGTGTTTCAATACTGCTCTATCAAAAGAATGCTTCAACACTGTTAGTTGAGGGCGCACATCACAAATAAGTTTCTGAGAATGCTTCTGTCTAGTTTTCAGGGGAAGATATTTCCTTTTAAACCATAGGCCTGAAAGCGCTCCAAATGTCCACATCCAGATACTACAAAAAGAGTGTTTCAAACCTGCTCTATGAAAGGGACTGTTCAACACTGTGACTTCAATTGAAACATCCCAATGACGCTTCTGAGAATGCTACTGTCTAGAGTTTATATGAAGACAATCCCGTTTCCAACGAAATCCTCAAAGCTATCCAAATATCCTCTTGCAGATTTTACAAAAAGTGTGTTTCAAAACAGCTCTATCAAAAGAAAAGTTCTACACTGTTAGTTGAGGGCGCACATCACAAATAAGATTCTGAGAATGCTTCTGTCTAGTTTTCAGGGGAAGATATTTCCTTTTTCACCATAGGCCTGAAAGCGCTCCAAATGTCCACATCCAGATACTACAAAAAGAGTGTTTCAAACCTGCTCTATGAAAGGGAATGTTCAAGTCTGTGACTTGAATGCAAATATCACAAAGAAGTTTCTGGGAATGCTGCTGTCTGCTTTTTATATGTAATCCCGTTTCCAACGAAATCCTCAAAGCTAGACAAATATCCACCTGCAGATCCAACAAAAAGAGTGTTTCAAAACTGCTCTCTCAAAAAAAAGGTTCAACTCTGTTAGCTGAGTAGATACATCATGAAAAAGTTTCTGACATTGCTTCTATCTAGCTTTTATTGGAAGATATTTCCTTTTTCACCGTACTCCTGAGAGCGCTCCAAATCTCCACTTCCAGATATTACAAAAAGAGTGTTTCAAACCTGCTCTACGATAGGGACTGTTCAACACTGTGACTTTAATTGAAACATCCCAATGAAGCTTCTGAGAATGCTTCTGTCTAGATTGTATATGAAGACAATCCCGTTTCCAACGAAATCCTCAAAGCTATCCAAATATCCTCTTGCAGATTTTACAAAAAGAGTGTTTCAAAACTGCTCTATCAAAAGAAAGCTTCAACACTGTTAGTTGAGGGCGCACATCACAAATAAGTTTCTGAGAATGCTTCTGTCTAGTTTTCAGGGGAAGATATTTCCTTTTTCACCTTATGCCTGAAAGCGCTGCAAATGTCCACATCCAGATACTACAAAAAGAGTGTTTCAAACCTGCTCTATGAAAGGGAATGTTCAACTCTGTGACTTGAATGCAAACATCACAAAGAAGTTACTGGGAATGCTGCTGTCTGCTTTTTATATGTAATCCCGTTTCCAACGAAATCCTCAAAGCTAGACAAATATCCACTTGCAGATTCCACAAAAAGAGTGTTTCAAAACTGCTCTCTCAAAAGAAAGGTTCAACTCTGTTAGCTGAGTAGATACATCATGAAAAAGTTTCTGACATTGCTTCTATCTAGCTTTTATTGGAAGATAATTCCTTTATCACCGGTATTCCTGAGATCTCTCCAAATGTCCACTTCCAGATACTACAAAAAGAGTGTTTCAAACCTGCTCTATGAAAGGGACTGTTCAACACTGTGACTTCAATTGAAACATCCCAATGAAGCTTCTGAGAATGCTTATGTCTAGAGTTTATATGAAGACAATCCCGTTTCCAACGAAATCCTGAAAGCTATCCAAATATCCTCTTGCAGATATTACAAAAAGAGTGTTTCAAAACTGCTCTATCAAAAGAAAGCTTCAACACTGTTAGTTGAGGGCGCCCATCACAAATAAGTTTCGGAGAATGCTTAGCTGTCTGCTTTTTATATGTAATCCCGTTTCCAACGAAATCCTCAAATCTAGACAAATATCCACTTGCAGATCCCACAAAAAGAGTGTTTCAAAACTGCTCTATCAAAAGAAAGCTTCAACACTGTTAGTTGAGGGCGCACATCACAAATAAGTTTCTGAGAATGCTTCTATCTAGTTTTCAGGGGAAGATATTTCCTTTTTCACCATAGGCCTGAAAGCGCTCCAAATGTCCACATCCAGATACTACAAAAAGAGTGTTTCAAACCTGCTCTATGAAAGGGACTGTTCAACACTGTGACTTCAATTGAAACATCCCAATGAAGCTTCTGAGAATGCTTCTGTCTAGAGTTTATATGAAGACAATCCCGTTTCCAACGAAATCCTCAGAGATATCCAAATATCCTCTTGCAGAATTTACAAAAAGAGTGTTTCAAAACTGCTCTATCAAAAGAAAGCTTCAACACTGTTAGTTGAGGGCGCACATCACAAATAAGATTCTGAGAATGCTTCTGTCTAGTTTTCAGGGGAAGATATTTCCTTTTTCACCATAGGCCTGAAAGCGCTCCAAATGTCCACATCCAGATACTACAAAAAGAGTGTTTCAAACCTGCTCTATGAAAGGGAATGTTCAACTCTGTGACTTGAATGCAAACATCACAAGGAAGTTTCTGGGAATGCTGCTGTCTGCTTTTTATATGTAATCCCGTTTCCAACGAAATCCTCAAAGCTAGACAAATATCCACTTGCAGATTCCACAAAAAGAGTGTTTCAAAACTGCTCTCTCAAAAGAAAGGTTCAACTCTGTTAGCTGAGTAGATACATCATGAAAAAGTTTCTGACATTGCTTCTATCTAGCTTTTATTGGAAGATATTTCCTTTTTCACCGTAGTCCTGAGAGCGCTCCAAATGTCAACTTCCAGATACTACAAAAAGAGTGTTTCAAACCTGCTCTATGAAAGGGACTGTTCAACACTGTGACTTCAATTGAAACATCCCAATGAAGCTTCTGAGAATTCTTCTGTCTAGAGTTTATATGAAGACAATCCCGTTTCCAACGAAATCCTCAAAGCTATCCAAATATCCTCTTGCAGATATTACAAAAAGAGTGTTTCAAAACTGCTCTATCAAAAGAAAGGTTCAACACTGTTAGTTGAGGGCGCACATCACAAATAAGTTTACTGAGAATGCTGCTGTCTGCTTTTTATATGTAATCCCGTTTCCAACGAAATCCTCAAAGCTAGACAAATATCCACTTGCAGATTCCACAAAAAGAGTGTTTCAAAACTGCTCTATCAAAAGAATGCTTCAACACTGTTAGTTGAGGGCGCACATCACAAATAAGTTTCTGAGAATGCTTCTGTCTAGTTTTCAGGGGAAGATATTTCCTTTTAAACCATAGGCCTGAAAGCGCTCCAAATGTCCACATCCAGATACTACAAAAAGAGTGTTTCAAACCTGCTCTATGAAAGGGACTGTTCAACACTGTAACTTCAATTGAAACATCCCAATGAAGCTTCTGAGAATGCTTCTGTCTAGAGTTTATATGAAGACAATCCCGTTTCCAACGAAATCCTCAAAGCTATCCAAATATCCTCTTGCAGATTTTACAAAAAGAGTGTTTCAAAACTGCTCTATCAAAAGAAAGCTTCAACACTGTTAGTTGAGGGCGCACATCACAAATAAGATTCTGAGAATGCTTCTGTCTAGTTTTCAGGAGAAGATATTTCCTTTTTCACCATAGGCCTGAAAGCGCTCCAAATGTCCACATCCAGATACTATAAAAAGAGTGTTTCAAACCTGCTCTCTGAAAGGGAATGTTCAACTCTGTGACTTGAATGCAAACATCACAAACAAGATTACTGGGAATGCTGGCTGTCTGCTTTTTATATGTAATCCCGTTTCCAACGAAATCCTCAAAGCTAGACAAATATCCACTTGCAGATTCCACAAAAAGAGTGTTTCAAAACTGCTCTCTCAAAGGAAGGTTCAACTCTGTTAGCTGAGTAGATACATCATGAAAAAGTTTCTGACATTGCTTCTATGTAGCTTTTATTGGAAGATATTTCCTTTTTCACCATAGTCCTGAGAGCCCTCCAAATGTCCACTTCCAGATACTACAAAAAGAGTGTTTCAAACCTGTTCTATGAAAGGAACTGTTCAACACTGTGACTTCAATTGAAACATGCCAATGAAGCTTCTGAGAATGCTTCTTTCTAGAGTTTATATGAAGACAATCCCGTTTCCAACGAAATCCTCAAAGCTATCCAAATATTCTCTTGCAGATATTACAAAAAGAGTGTTTCAAAACTGCTCTATCAAAATAAAGCTTCAACACTGTTAGTTGAGGGCGCACATCACAAATAAGTTTCTGAGAATGCTGCTGTCTGCTTTTTATATGTAATCCCGTTTCCAACGAAATCCTCAAAGCTAGACAAATATCCACTTGCAGATTCCACAAAAAGAGTGTTTCAAAACTGCTCTATCAAAAGAAAGCTTCAACACTGTTAGTTGAGGGCGCACATCACAAATAAGTTTCTGAGAATGCTTCTGTCTAGTTTTCAGGGGAAGATATTTCCTTTTAAACCATAGGCCTGAAAGCGCTCCAAATGTCCACATCCAGATACTACAAAAAGAGTGTTTCAAACCTGCTCTATGAAAGGGACTGTTCAACACTGTGACTTCAATTGAAACATCCCAATGACGCTTCTGAGAATGCTTCTGTCTAGAGTTTATATGAAGACAATCCCGTTTCCAACGAAATCCTCAAAGCTATCCAAATATCCTCTTGCAGATTTTACAAAAAGAGTGTTTCAAAACTGCTCTCTCAAAAAAAAGGTTCAACTCTGTTAGCTGAGTAGATACATCATGAAAAAGTTTCTGACATTGCTTCTATGTAGCTTTTATTGGAAGATATTTCCTTTTTCACCATAGGCCTGAAAGCGCTCCAAATGTCCACATCCAGATACTACAAAAAAAGTGTTTCAAACCTGCTCTATGAAAGGGAATGTTCAACTCTGTGACTTGAATGCAAACATCACAAAGAAGTTACTGGGAATGCTGCTGTCTGCTTTTTATATGTAAACCCGTTTCCAACGAAATCCTCAAAGCTAGACAAATATCCACTTGCAGATTCCACAAAAAGAGTGTTTCAAAACTTCTCTCTCAAAAGAAAGGTTCCACTCTGTTAGCTGAGTAGATACATCATGAAAAAGTTTCTGACATTGCTTTCTCTCTAGCTTTTATTGGAAGATACTTCCTTTTTCACCGTAGTCCTGAGAGCCCTCCAAATGTCCACTTCCAGACACTACAAAAAGAGTGTTTCAAACCTGCTCTATGAAAGGGACTGTTCAACACTGTGACTTCAATTGAAACATCCCAATGAAGCTTCTGAGAATGCTGCTGTCTGCTTTGTATAATTAATCCCGTTTCCAACGAAATCCTCAAAGCTATCCAAATATCCTCTTGCAGATATTACAAAAAGAGTGTTTCAAAACTGCTCTATCAAAAGAAAGCTTCAACACTGTTAGTTGAGGGCGCACATCACAAATAAGTTTCTGAGAATGCTGCTGTCTGCTTTTTATATGTAATCCCGTTTCCAACGAAATCCTCAAAGCTAGACAAATATCCACTTGCAGATTCCACAAAAAGAGTGTTTCAAAACTGCTCTATCAAAAGAAAGCTTCAACACTGTTAGTTGAGGGCGCACATCACAAATAAGTTTCTGAGAATGCTTCTGTCTAGTTTTCAGGGGAAGATATTTCCTTTTTCACCATAGGCCTGAAAGCGCTCGAAATGTCCACATCCAGATACTACAAAAAGAGTGTTTCAAACCTGCTCTATGAAAGGGACTGTTCAACACTGTGACTTCAATTGAAACATCCCAATGAAGCTTCTGAGAATGCTTCTGTCTAGAGTTTATATGAAGACAATCCCGTTTCCAACGAAATCCTCAAAGCTATCCAAATATCCTCTTGCAGATTTTACAAAAAGAGTGTTTCGAAACTGCTCTATCAAAAGAAAGGTTCAACACTGTTAGTTGAGGGCGCACATCACAAATAAGTTTCTGAGAATGCTTCTGTCTAGTTTTCAGGGGAAGATATTTCCTTTTTCACCATAGGCCTGAAAGCGCTCCAAATGTCCACATCCAGATACTACAAAAAGAGTGTTTCAAACCTGCTCTATGAAAGGGAATGTTCAACTCTGTGACTTGAATGCAAACATCACAAAGAAGTTTCTGGGAATGCTGCTGTCTGCTTTTTATATGTAATCCCGTTTCCAACGAAATCCTCAAAGCTAGACAAATATCCACTTGCAGATTCCACAAAAAGAGTGTTTCAAAACTGCTCTCTCAAAAGAAAGGTTCAACTCTGTTAGCTGAGTAGATACACCATGAAAAAGTTTCTGACATTGCTTCTATCTAGCTTTTATTGGAAGATATTTCCTTTTTCACCGTAGTCATGAGAGCGCTCCAAATGTCCACTTCCAGATACTACAAAAAGAGTGTTTCAAACCTGCTCTATGAAAGGGACTGTTCAACACTGTGACTTCAATTGAAACATCCCAATGAAGCTTCTGAGAATGCTTCTGTCTAGATTCTATATGAAGACAATCCCGTTTCCAACGAAATCCTCAAAGCTATCCAAATATCCTCTTGCAGATTTTACAAAAAGAGTGTTTCAAAACTGCTCTATCAAAAGAAAAGTTCCACACTGTTAGTTGAGGGCGCACATCACAAATAAGTTTGCTGAGAATGCTGCTGTCTGCTTTTTATATGTAATCCCGTTTCCAACGAAATCCTCAAAGCTATCCAAATATCCTCTTGCAGATATTACAAAAAGAGTGTTTCAAAACTGCTCTATCAAAAGAAAGGTTCAACACTGTTAGTTGAGGGCGCACATCACAAATAAGTTTCTGAGAATGCTTCTGTCTAGTTTTCAGGGGAAGATATTTCCTTTTAAACCATAGGCCTGAAAGCGCTCCAAATGTCCACATCCAGATACTACAAAAAGAGTGTTTCAAACCTGCTCTATGAAAGGGACTGTTCAACACTGTGACTTCAATTGAAATATCCCAATGACGCTTCTGAGAATGCTTCTGTCTAGAGTTTATATGAAGACAATCCCGTTTCCAATGAAATCCTCAAAGCTATCCAAATATCCTCTTGCAGATATTACAAAAAGAGTGTTTCAAAACTGCTCTATCAAAAGAAAGCTTCAACACTGTTAGTTGAGGGCGCACATCACAAATAAGTTTCTGAGAATGCTTCTGTCTAGTTTTCAGGGGAAGATATTTCCTTTTTCACCATAGGCCTGAAAGCGCTCCAAATGTCCACATCCAGATACTACAAAAAGAGTGTTTCAAACCTGCTCTATGAAAGGGAATGTTCAACTCTGTGACTTGAATGCAAACATCACAAAGAAGTTACTGGGAATGCTGCTGTCTGCTTTTTATATGTAATCCCGTTTCCAACGAAATCCTCAAAGCTAGACAAATATCCACTTCCAGATTCCACAAAAAGAGTGTTTCAAAACTGCTCTCTCAAAAGAAAGGTTCAACTCTGTTAGCTGAGTAGATACATCATGAAAAAGTTTCTGACATTGCTTCTATGTAGCTTTTATTGGAAGATATTTGCTTTTTCGCCATAGTCCTGAGTGCGCTCAAAATGTCCACTTCCAGATACTACAAAAAGAGTGTTTCAAACCTGCTCTATGAAAGGGACTGTTCAACACTGTGACTTCAATTGAAACATCCCAATGAAGCTTCTGAGAATGCTTCTGTCTAGAGTTTATATGAAGACAATCCCGTTTCCAACGAAATCCTCAAAGCTATCCAAATATCCTCTTGCAGATATTACAAAAAGAGTGTTTCAAAACTGCTCTATCAAAAGAAAGGTTCAACACTGTTAGTTGAGGGCGCACATCACAAATAAGTTTACTGAGAATGCTGCTGTCTGCTTTTTATATGTAATCCCGTTTCCAACGAAATCCTCAAAGCTAGACAAATATCCACTTGCAGATTCCACAAAAAGAGTGTTTCAAAACTGCTCTATCAAAAGAATGCTTCAACACTGTTAGTTGAGGGCGCACATCACAAATAAGTTTACTGAGAATGCTTCTGTCTAGTTTTCAGGGGAAGATATTTCCTTTTTCACCATAGGCCTGAAAGCGCTCCAAATGTCCACATCCAGATACTACAAAAAGAGTGTTTCAAACCTGCTCTATGAAAGGGACTGTTCAACACTGTGACTTCAATTGAAACATCCCAATGAAGCTTCTGAGAATGCTTCTGTCTAGAGTTTATATGAAGACAATCCCGTTTCCAACGAAATCCTCAAAGCTATCCAAATATCCTCTTGCAGATATTACAAAAAGAGTGTTTCAAAACTGCTCTATCAAAAGAAAGCTTCAACACTGTTAGTTGAGGGCGCACATCACAAATAAGTTTCTGAGAATGCTTCTATGTAGCTTTTATTGGAAGATATTTCCTTTTTCACCATAGGCCTGAAAGCGCTCCAAATGTCCACATCCAGATACTACAAAAAAAGTGTTTCAAACCTGCTCTATGAAAGGGAATGTTCAACTCTGTGACTTGAATGCAAACATCACAAAGAAGTTACTGGGAATGCTGCTGTCTGCTTTTTATATGTAATCCCGTTTCCAACGAAATCCTCAATGCTAGACAAATATCCACTTGCAGATTCCACAAAAAGAGTGTTTCAAAACTGCTCTCTCAAAAGAAAGGTTCAACTCTGTTAGCTGAGTAGATACATCATGAAAAAGTTTCTGACATTGCTTCTATCTAGCTTTTATTGGAAGATATTACCTTTATCACCGTATTCCTGAGATCTCTCAAAATGTCCACTTCCAGATACTACAAAAAGAGTGTTTCAAACCTGCTCTATGAAAGGGACTGTTCAACACTGTGACTTCAATTGAAACATCCCAATGAAGCTTCTGAGAATGCTGCTGTCTGCTTTGTATAATTAATCCCGTTTCCAACGAAATCCTCAAAGCTATCCAAATATCCTCTTGCAGATATTACAAAAAGAGTGTTTCAAAACTGCTCTATCAAAAGAAAGCTTCAACACTGTTAGTTGAGGGCGCACATCACAAATAAGTTTCTGAGAATGCTGCTGTCTGCTTTTTATATGTAATCCCGTTTCCAACGAAATCCTCAAAGCTAGACATACATCCACTTGCAGATTCCACAAAAAGAGTGTTTCAAAACTGCTCTATCAAAAGAAAGCTTCAACACTGTTAGTTGAGGGCGCACATCACAAATAAGTTTCTGAGAATGCTTCTGTCTAGTTTTCAGGGGAAGATATTTCCTTTTTCACCATAGGCCTGAAAGCGCTCGAAATGTCCACATCCAGATACTACAAAAAGAGTGTTTCAAACCTGCTCTATGAAAGGGACTGTTCAACACTGTGACTTCAATTGAAACATCCCAATGAAGCTTCTGAGAATGCTTCTGTCTAGAGTTTATATGAAGACAATCCCGTTTCCAACGAAATCCTCAAAGCTATCCAAATATCCTCTTGCAGATTTTACGAAAAGAGTGTTTCAAAACTGCTCTCTCAAAAGAAAGGTTCAACTCTGTTAGCTGAGTAGATACATCATGAAAAAGTTTCTGACATTGCTTCTATCTAGCTTTTATTGGAAGATATTTCCTTTATCACCGTAGTCCTGAGAGCGCTCCAAATGTCCACTTCCAGATACTACAAAAAGAGTGTTTCAAACCTGCTCTATGAAAGGGACTGTTCAACACTGTGACTTCAATTGAAACATCCCAATGAAGCTTCTGAGAATGCTTCTGTCTAGAGTTTATATGAAGACAATCCCGTTTCCAACGAAATCCTCAAAGCTATCAAAATATCCTCTTGCAGATTTTACGAAAAGAGTGTTTCAAAACTGCTCTATCAAAAGAAAGCTTCAACACTGTTAGTTGAGGGCGCACATCACAAATACGATTCTGAGAATACTTCTATGTAGCTTTTATTGGAAGATATTTCCTTTTTCACCATAGGCCTGAAAGCGCTCCAAATGTCCACATCCAGATACTACAAAAAAAGTGTTTCAAACCTGCTCTATGAAAGGGAATGTTCAACTCTGTGACTTGAATGCAAACATCACAAAGAAGTTACTGGGAATGCTGCTGTCTGCTTTTTATATGTAATCCCGTTTCCAACGAAATCCTCAAAGCTAGACAAATATCCACTTGCAGATTCCACAAAAAGAGTGTTTCAAAACTGCTCTCTCAAAAGAAAGGTTCAACTCTGTTAGCTGAGTAGATACATCATGAAAAAGTTTCTGACATTGCTTCTATCTAGCTTTTATTGGAAGATATTTCCTTTTTCACCGCAGTCCTGAGAGCGCTCCAAATGTCCACTTCCAGATACTACAAAAAGAGTGTTTCAAACCTGCTCTATGAAAGGGACTGTTCAACACTGTGACTTCAATTGAAACATCCCAATGAAGCTTCTGAGAATGCTTCTGTCTAGAGTTTATATGAAGACAATCCCGTTTCCAAAGAAATCCTCAAAGCTATCCAAATATCCTCTTGCAGATTTTACAAAAAGAGTGTTTCAAACCTGCTCTATGAAAGGGACTGTTCAACACTGTGACTTCAATTGAAACATCCCAATGAAGCTTCTGAGAATGCTTCTGTCTAGAGTTTATATGAAGACAATCCCGTTTCCAACGAAATCCTCAAAGCTATCCTAATATCCTCTTACAAATTTTACAAAAAGAGTGTTTCAAAACTGCTCTATCAAAAAAAAGCTTCAACACTGTTAGTTGAGGGCGCACATCACAAATAAGATTCTGAGAATGCATCTGTCTAGTTTTCAGGGGAAGATATTTCCTTTTTCACCATAGGCCTGAAAGCGCTCGAAATGTCCACATCCAGATACTACAAAAAGAGTGTTTCAAACCTGCTCTATGAAAGGGACTGTTCAACACTGTGACTTCAATTGAAACATCCCAATGAAGCTTCTGAGAATGCTTCTGTCTAGAGTTTATATGAAGACAATCCCGTTACCAAAGAAATCCTCAAAGCTATCCAAATATCCTCTTGCAGATTTTACAAAAAGAGTGTTTCAAAACTGCTCTATCAAAAGAAAGCTTCAGCACTGTTAGTTGAGGGCGCACATAACAAATAACATTCTGAGAATGCTTCTGTCTAGTTTTCAGGAGAATATATTTCCTTTTTCACCTTAGGCCTGAAAGCGCTCCAAATGTCCACATCCAGATACTATAAAAAGAGTGTTTCAAACCTGCTCTATGAAAGGGAATTTTCAACTCTGTGACTTGAATGCAAACATCACAAAGAAGATTCTGGGAATGCTGCTGTCTGCTTTTTATATGTAATCCCGTTTCAAACGCAATCCTCAAAGCTAGACAAATATCCACTTCCAGATTCCACAAAAAGAGTGTTTCAAAACTGCTCTCTCAAAAGAAAGGTACAACTCTGTTAGCTGAGTAGATACATCATGAAAAATTTTCTGACATTGCTTCTATCTAGCTTTTATTGGAAGATACTTCCTTTTTCACCGTAGTCCTGAGAGCGCTCCAAATGTCCACTTCCAGATACTACAAAAAGAGTGTTTCAAACCTGCTCTATGAAAGGGACTGTTCAACACTGTGACTTCAATTGAAACATCCCAATGAAGCTTCTGAGAATGCTGCTGTCTGCTTTGTATAATTAATCCCGTTTCCAACGAAATCCTCAAAGCTATCCAAATATCCTCTTGCAGATATTACAAAAAGAGTGTTTCAAAACTGCTCTATCAAAAGAAAGCTTCAACACTGTTAGTTGAGGGCGCACATCACAAATAAGTTTCTGAGAATGCTGCTGTCTGCTTTTTATATGTAATCCCGTTTCCAACGAAATCCTCAAAGCTAGACAAACATCCACTTGCAGATTCCACAAAAAGAGTGTTTCAAAACTGCTCTATCAAAAGAATGCTTCAACACTGTTAGTTGAGGGCGCACATCACAAATAAGTTTCTGAGAATGCTTCTGTCTAGTTTTCAGGGGAAGATATTTCCTTTTTCACCATAGGCCTGAAAGCGCTCCAAATGTCCACATCCAGATACTACAAAAAGAGTGTTTCAAACCTGCTCTATGAAAGGGACTGTTCAACACTGTGACTTCAATTGAAACATCCCAATGAAGCTTCTGAGAATGCTTCTGTCTAGAGTTTATATGAAGACAATCCCGTTTCCAAAGAAATCCTCAAAGCTATCCAAATATCCTCTTGCAGATTTTACAAAAAGAGTGTTTCAAAACTGCTCTATCAAAAGAAAGCTTCAACACTGTTAGTTGAGGGCGCACATCACAAATAAGATTCTGAGAATGCTTCTGTCTAGTTTTCAGGGGAAGATATTTCCTTTTTCACCATAGGCCTGAAAGCGCTCCAAATGTCCACATCCAGATACTACAAAAAGAGTGTTTCAAACCTGCTCTATGAAAGGGAATGTTCAACTCTGTGACTTGAATGCAAACATCACAAAGAAGTTACTGGGAATGCTGCTGTCTGCTTTTTATATGTAATCCCGTTTCCAACGAAATCATCAAAGCTAGACAAATATCCACTTGCAGATTCCACAAAAAGAGTGTTTCAAAACGGCTCTCTCAAAACAAAAGTTCAACTCTGTTAGCTGAGTAGATACATCATGAAAAAGTTTCTGACATTGCTTCTATCTAGCTTTTATTGGAAGATAGTTCCTTTTTCACCGCAGACCTGAGAGCGCTCCAAATGTCCACTTCCAGATACTACAAAAAGAGTGTTTCAAACCTGCTCTATGAAAGGGACTTTTCAACACTGTGACTTCAATTGAAACATCCCAATGAAGCTTCTGAGAATGCTGCTGTCTGCTTTGTATAATTAATCCCGTTTCCAACGAAATCCTCAAAGCTATCCAAATATCCTCTTGCAGATATTACAAAAAGAGTGTTTCAAAACTGCTCTATCAAAAGAAAGCTTCAACACTGTTAGTTGAGGGCGCACATCACAAATAAGTTTCTGAGAATGCTGCTGTCTGCTTTTTATATGTAATCCCGTTTCCAACGAAATCCTCAAAGCTAGACAAACATCCACTTGCAGATTCCACAAAAAGAGTGTTTCAAAACTGCTCTATCAAAAGAAAGCTTCAACACTGTTAGTTGAGGGCGCACATCACAAATAAGTTTCTGAGAATGCTTCTGTCTAGTTTTCAGGGGAAGATATTTCCTTTTTCACCATAGGCCTGAAAGCGCTCCAAATGTCCACATCCGGATACTACAAAAAGAGTGTTTCAAACCTGCTCTATGAAAGGGACTGTTCAACACTGTGACTTCAATTGAAACATCCCAATGAAGCTTTCTGAGAATACTTCTGTCTAGAGTTTATATGAAGACAATCCCGTTTCCAACGAAAATCCTGAAAGCTATCCAAATATCCTCTTGCAGATATTACAAAAAGAGTGTTTCAAAACTGCTCTATCAAAAGAAAGCTTCAACACTGTTAGTTGAGGGCGCACATCACAAATAAGTTTCTGAGAATGCTTCTGTCTAGTTTTCAGGGGAAGATATTTCCGTTTTCACCATAGGCCTGAAAGCGCTCCAAATGTCCACATCCAGATACTACAAAAAGAGTGTTTCAAACCTGCTCTATGAAAGGGAATGTTCAACTCTGTGACTTGAATGTAAATATCACAAAGAAGTTTCTGGGAATGCTGCTGTCTGCTTTTTATATGTAATCCCGTTTCCAACGAAATCCTCAAAGCTAGACAAATATCCACCTGCAGATTCCACAAAAAGAGTGTTTCAAAACTGCTCTCTCAAAAGAAAGGTTCAATTCTGTTAGCTGAGTAGATACCTCATGAAAAATTTTCTGACATTGCTTCTATCTAGCTTTTATTGGAAGATATTTCCTTTTTCACGGTAGTCCTGAGAACGCTCCAAATGTCCACTTCCAGATACTACAAAAAGAGTGTTTCAAATCTGCTCTATGAAAGGGACTGTTCAACACTGTGACTTCAATTGAAACATCCCAATGAAGCTTCTGAGAATGATGCTGTCTGCTTTGTATAATTAATCCCGTTTCCAACGAAATCCTCAAAGCTATCCAAATATCCTCTTGCAGATATTACAAAAAGAGTGTTTCAAAACTGCTCTATCAAAAGAAAGCTTCAACACTGTTAGTTGAGGGCGCACATCACAAATAAGTTTCTGAGAATGCTGCTGTCTGCTTTTTATATGTAATCCCGTTTCCAACGAAATCCTCAAAGCTAGACAAATATCCACTTGCAGATTCCACAAAAAGAGTGTTTCAAAACTGCTCTATCAAAAGAATGCTTCAACACTGTTAGTTGAAGGCGCACATCACAAATAAGTTTCTGAGAATGCTTCTGTCTAGTTTTCAGGGGAAGATATTTCCTTTTAAACCATAGGCCTGAAAGCGCTCCAAATGTCCACATCCAGATACTACAAAAAGAGTGTTTCAAACCTGCTCTATGAAAGGGAATGTTCAACACTGTGACTTCAATTGAAACATCCCAATGACGCTTCTGAGAATGCTTCTGTCTAGAGTTTATATGAAGACAATCCCGTTTCCAACGAAATCCTCAAAGCTATCCAAATATCCTCTTGCAGATTTTACAAAAAGAGTGTTTCAAAACTGCTCTATCAAAAGAAAGCTTCAACTCTGTTAGTTGAGGGCGCACATCACAAATAAGATTCTGAGAATGCTTCTGTCTAGTTTTCAGTGGAAGATATTTCCTTTTTCACCATAGGCCTGAAAGCGCTCCAAATGTCCAAATCCAGATATTACAAAAAGCGCGTTTCAAACCTGCTCTATGAAAGGGAATGTTCAACTCTTTGACTTGAATACAAACATCACAAAGAAGTTTCTGGGAATGCTACTGTCTGCTTTTTATATGTAATCCCGTTTCCAACGAAATCCTCAAAGCTAGACAAATATCCACTTGCAGATTCCACAAAATGAGTGTTTCAAAACGGTTCTCTCAAATGAAAGATTCAACTCTGTTAGCTGAGTAGATACATCATGAAAAATTTTCTGACATTGCTTCTATCTAGCTTTTATTGGAAGATATTTCCTTTTTCACCGTAGTCCTGAGAACGCTCCAAGTGTCCACTTCCAGATACTACAAAAAGAGTGTTTCAAACCTGCTATATGAAAGGGACTGTTCAACACTGTGACTTCAGTTGAAACATCCCAATGAAGCTTCTGAGAATGCTGCTGTCTGCTTTGTATAATTAATCCCGTTTCCAACGAAATCCTCAAAGCTATCCAAATATCCTCTTGCAGATATTACAAAAAGAGTGTTTCAAAACTGCTCTATCAAAAGAAAGCTTCAACACTGTTAGTTGAGGGCGCACATCACAAATAAGTTTCTGAGAATGCTGCTGTCTGCTTTTTATATGTAATCCCGTTTCCAACGAAATCCTCAAAGCTAGACAAATATCCACTTGCAGATTCCACAAAAAGAGTGTTTCAAAACTGCTCTATCAAAAGAAAGCTTCAACACTGTTAGTTGAGGGGGCACATCACAAATAAGTTTCTGAGAATGCTTCTGTCTAGTTTTCAGGGGAAGATATTTCCTTTTTCACCATAGGCCTGAAAGCGCTCCAAATGTCCACATCCAGATACTACAAAAAGAGTGTTTCAAACCTGCTCTATGAAAGGGACTGTTCAACACTGTGACTTCAATTGAAACATCCCAATGAAGCTTCTGAGAATGCTTTCTGTCTAGAGTTTATATGAAGACAATCCCGTTTCCAACGAAATCCTCAAAGCTATCCAAATATCCTCTTGCAGATTTTACAAAAAGAGTGTTTCAAAACTGCTCTATCAAAAGAAAGGTTCAACACTGTTAGTTGAGGGCGCACATCACAAAAAAGATTCTGAGAATGCTTCTGTCTAGTTTTCAGGGGAAGATATTTCCTTTTTCACCATAGGCCTGAAAGCGCTCCAAATGTCCACATCCAGATACTACAAAAAGAGTGTTTCAAACCTGCTCTATGAAAGGGAATGTTCAACTCTGTGACTTGAATGCAAACATCACAAAGAAATTTCTGGGAATGCTGCTGTCTGCTTTTTATATGTAATCCCGTTTCCAACGAAATCCTCAAAGCTAGACAAATATCCAGTTGCAGATTCCACAAAAAGAGTGTTTCAAAACTGCTCTCTCAAAAGAAAGTTTCAACTCTGTTAGCTGAGTAGATACATCATGAAAAAGTTTCTGACATTGCTTCTATCTAGCTTTTATTGGAAGATATTTCCTTTATCACCGTATTCCTGAGATCTCTCCAAATGTCCAATTCCAGATACTACAAAAAGAGTGTTTCAAACCTGCTCTATGAAAGGGAATCTTCAACTCTGACACTTGAATGCAAACATCACAAAGAAGTTTCTGGGAATGCTTCTGTCTAGATTGTATATGAAGACAATCCCGTTTCCAACGAAATCCTCAAAGCTATCCAAATATCCTCTTGCAGATTTTACAAAAAGAGTGTTTCAAAACTGCTCTATCAAAAGAAAGCTTCAACACTGTTAGTTGAGGGCGCACATCACAAATAAGTTTCTGAGAATGCTTCTGTCTAGTTTTCAGGGGAAGATATTTCCTTTTTCACCATAGGCCTGAAAGCGCTCCAAATGTCCACATCCAGATACTACAAAAAGAGTGTTTCAAACCTGCTCTATGAAAGGGAATGTCCAACTCTGTGACTTGAATGCAAATATCACAAAGATGTTTCTGGGAATGCTGCTGTCTGCTTTTTATATGTAATCACGTTTCCATCACAATCCCCAAAGCTAGACAAATATCCACTTGCAGATTCCACAAAAAGAGTGTTTCAAAACTGCTCTCTCAAAAGAAAGGTTCAACTCTGTTAGCTGAGTAGATACATCATGAAAAATTTTCTGACATTGCTTCTATCTAGCTTTTATTGGAAGATATTTCCTTTTTCACGGTAGTCCTGAGAGCGCTCCAAATGTCCACTTCCAGATACTACAAGAAGAGTGTTTCAAACCTGCTCTAACAAAGGGAATGTTCAACACTGTGACTTCAATTGAAACATCCCAAAGAAATTTCTGAGAATGCTTCTTTCTAGAGTTTATATGAAGACAATCCCGTTTCCAACGAAATCCTCAAAGCTATCCAAATATTCTCTTGCAGATATTACAAAAAGAGTGTTTCAAAACTGCTCTATCAAAATAAAGCTTCAACACTGTTAGTTGAGGGCGCACATCACAAATAAGTTTCTGAGAATGCTGCTGTCTGCTTTTTATATGTAATCCCGTTTCCAACGAAATCCTCAAAGCTAGAGAAATATCCACGTGCAGATTCCACAAAAAGAGTGTTTCAAAACTGCTCTATCAAAAGAAAGCTTCAACACTGTTAGTTGAGGGCGCACATCACAAATAAGTTTCTGAGAATGCTTCTGTCCAGTTTTCAGGGGAAGATATTTCCTTTTAAACCATAGGCCTGAAAGCACTCCAAATGTCCACATCCAGATACTACAAAAAGAGTGTTTCAAACCTGCTCTATGAAAGGGACTGTTCAACACTGTGACTTCAATTGAAACATCCCAATGAAGCTTCTGAGAATGCTTCTGTGTAGAGTTTATATGAAGACAATCCCGTTTCCAACGAAATCCTCAAAGCTATCCAAATATCCTCTTGCAGATTTTACAAAAAGAGTGTTTCAAAACTGCTCTATCAAAAGAAAGCTTCAACACTGTTAGTTGAGGGCGCACATCACAAATAAGATTCTGAGAATTCTTCTGTCTAGTTTTCAGGGGAAGATATTTCCTTTTTCACCATAGGCCTGAAAGCGCTCCAAATGTCCACATCCAGATACTACAAAAAGAGTGTTTCAAACCTGCTCTATGAAAGGGAATGTTTAACTCTGTGACTTGAATGCAAACATCACAAAGAAGTTTCTGGGAATGCTGCTGTCTGCTTTTTATATGTAATCCCGTTTCCAACGAAATCCTCAAAGCTAGACAAATATCCACTTGCAGATTCCACAAAAAGAGTGTTTCAAAACTGCTCTCTCAAAGGAAAGGTTCAACTCTGTTAGCTGAGTAGATACATCATGAAAAAGTTTCTGACATTGCTTCTATCTAGCTTTTATTGGAAGATATTTCCTTTTTCACCGTAGTCCTGAGAGCGCTCCAAATGTCCACTTCCAGATGCTACAAAAAGAGTGTTTCAAACCTGCTCCATGAAAGTGACTGTTCAACACTGTGACTTCAATTGAAACATCCCAATGAACCTTCTGAGAATGCTACTGTCTAGGGTTAATATGAAGACAATCCCGTTTCAAACGAAATCCTCAAAGCTATCCAAATATCCTCTTGCAGATTTTACAAAAAGGGTGTTTCAAAACTACTCTATCAACAGAAAGGTTCAACATTGTTATTTGAGGGCGCACATCACAAATAAGTTTCTGAGAATGCTTCTGTCTAGTTTGCAGGGGAAGATATTTCCTTTTTCACCATAGGCCTGAGAGCGCTCCAAATGTCCACATCCAGATACTACAAAAAGAGTGTTTCAAACCTGCTCTATGAAAGGGAATGTTCAACTCTGTGACTTGAATGCAAACATCACAAAGAAGTTTCTGGGAATGCTGCTGTCTGCTTTTTATATGTAATCCCGTTTCCAACGAAATCCTCAAAGCTAGACAAATATCCACTTGCAGATTCCACAAAAAGAGTGTTTCAAAACTGCTCTCTCAAAAGAAAGGTTCAACTCTGTTAGCTGAGTAGATACATCATGAAAAAGTTTCTGACATTGTTTCTATGTAGCTTTTATTGGAAGATATTTCCTTTTTCACCGCAGTCCTGAGAGCGCTCCAAATGTGCACTTCCAGATACTACAAAAAGAGTGTTTCAAACCTGCTCTATGAAAGGGACTGTTCAACACTGTGACTTCAATTGAAACATCCCAATGAAGCTTCTGAGAATGCTTCTGTCTAGAGTTTCTATGAAGACAATCCCGTTTCCAACGAAATCCTCAAAGCTATCCAAATATCCTCTTGCAGATTTTACAAAAAGAGTGTTTCAAAACTGCTCTATCAAAAGAAAGCTTCAACACTGTTAGTTGAGGGCACACATCACAAATAAGATTCTGAGAATGCTGCTGTCTGCTTTTTATATGTAATCCCGTTTCCAACGAAATCCTCAAAGCTAGACAAATATCCACTTGCAGATTCCACAAAAAGAGTGTTTCAAAACTGCTCTATCAAAAGAATGCTTCAACACTGTTAGTTGAGGGCGCACATCACAAATAAGTTTACTGAGAATGCTTCTGTCTAGTTTTCAGGGGAAGATATTTCCTTTTTCACCATAGGCCTGAAAGCGCTCGAAATGTCCACATCCAGATACTACAAAAAGAGTGTTTCAAACCTGCTCTATGAAAGGGACTGTTCAACACTGTGACTTCAATTGAAACATCCCAATGAAGCTTCTGAGAATGCTTCTGTCTAGAGTTTATTTGTAGACAATCCCGTTTCCAATGAAATCCTCAAAGCTATCCAAATATCCTCTTGCAGATTTTACAAAAAGAGTGTTTCAAAACTGCTCTATCAAAAGAAAGCTTCAACACTGTTAGTTGAGGGCGCACATCACAAATAAGATTCTGAGAATGCTTCTGTCTAGTTTTCAGGGGAAGAAATTTCCTTTTTCACCATACGCCTGAAAGCGCTCCAAATGTCCACATACAGATACTACA
The DNA here is from genome assembly GCF_000001405.40 of Homo sapiens. Classification (NCBI taxonomy): domain Eukaryota; kingdom Metazoa; phylum Chordata; class Mammalia; order Primates; family Hominidae; genus Homo; species Homo sapiens. The sequence goes on along the minus strand of NC_000002.12, from coordinate 92,913,525 downwards.
AAAAGAGTGTTTCAAACCTGCTCTATGAAAGGGAATGTTCAAGTCTGTGACTTGAATGCAAACATCACAAAGAAGTTTCTGGGAATGCTGCTGTCTGCTTTTTATATGTAATCCCGTTTCCAACGAAATCCTCAAAGCTAGACAAATATCCACTTGCAGATTCCACAAAAAGAGTGTTTCAAAACTGCTCTCTCAAAAGAAAGGTTCAACTCTGTTAGCTGAGTAGATACATCATGAAAAAGTTTCTGACATTGCTTCTATCTAGCTTTTATTGGAAGATATTTCCTTTATCACCGTATTCCTGAGAGCGCTCGAAATGTCCACTTCCAGATACTACAAAAAGAGTGTTTCAAACCTGTTCTACGAAAGGAACTGTTCAACACTGTGACTTCAATTGAAACATCCCGATGAAGCTTCTGAGAATGCTTCTGTCTAGAGTTTATATGAAGACAATCCCATTTCCAACGAAATCCTCAAAGCTATCCAAATATCCTCTTGCAGATATTACAAAAAGAGTGTTTCAAAACGGCTCTATCAAAAGAAAGCTTCAACACTGTTAGTTGAGGGCGCACATCACAAATAAGTTTCTGAGAATGCTTCTGTCTAGTTTTCAGGGGAAGATATTTCCTTTTTCACCATAGGCCTGAAAGCGCTCCAAATGTCCACATCCAGATACTACAAAAAGAGTGTTTCAAACCTGCTCTATGAAAGGGAATGTTCAACTCTGTGACTTGAATGCAAACATCACAAAGAAGTTTCTGGGAATGCTGCTGTCTGCTTTTTATATGTAATCATGTTTCCAACGCAATCCTCAAAGCTAGACAAATATCCACTTGCAGATTCCACAAAAAGAGTGTTTCAAAACTGCTCTCTCAAAAGAAAGGTTCAACCCTGTTAGCTGAGTAGATACATCATGAAAAATTTTCTGACATTGCTTCTATCTAGCTTTTATTGGAAGATATTTCCTTTTTCACTGTAGTCCTGAGAACGCTCCAAATGTCCACTTCCAGATACTACAAAAAGAGTGTTTCAAATCTGCTCTATGAAAGGGACTGTTCAACACTGTGACTTCAATTGAAACATCCCAATGAAGCTTCTGAGAATGATTCTGTCTAGATTCTATATGAAGACAATCCCGTTTCCAACGAAATCCTCAAAGCTATCCAAATATCCTCTTGCGGATTTTACAAAAAGAGTGTATCAAAACTGCTCTATCAAAAGAAAGGTTCAACACTGTTAGTTGAGGGCGCACATCACAAATAAGTTTCTGAGAATGCTTCTGTCTAGTTTTCAGGGGAAGATATTTCCTTTTTCACCATAGGCCTGAAAGCGCTCCAAATGTCCACATCCAGATACTACAAAAAGAGTGTTTCAAACCTGCTCTATGAAAGGGAATGTTGAACTCTGTGACTTGAATGCAAACATCACAAAGAAGATTCTGGGAATGCTGCTGTCTGGTTTTTATATGTAATCCCGTTTCCAACGAAATCCTCAAAGCTAGACAAATATCCACTTGCAGATTCCACGAAAAGAGTGTTTCAAAACTGCTCTCTCAAAAGAAAGGTTCAACTCTGTTAGCTGAGTAGATACATCATGAAAAAGTTTCTGACATTGCTTCTATCTAGCTTTTATTGGAAGATATTTCCTTTTTCACCGTAGTCCTGAGAACGCTCCAAATGTCCACTTCCAGATGCTACAAAAAGAGTGTTTCAAACCTGCTCTATGAAAGGGACTGTTCAACACTGTGACTTCAATTGAAACATCCCAATGAAGCTTCTGAGAATGATTCTGTCTAGATTCTATATGAAGACAATCCCGTTTCCAACGAAATCCTCAAAGCTATCCAAATATCCTCTTGCAGATTTTACAAAAAGAGTGTTTCAAAACTGCTCTATCAAAAGAAAAGTTCCACACTGTTAGTTGAGGGCGCACATCACAAATAAGTTTGCTGAGAATGCTTGCTGTCTGCTTTTTATATGTAATCCCGTTTCCAACGAAATCCTCAAAGCTATCCAAATATCCTCTTGCAGATTTTACAAAAAGAGCGTTTCAAAACTGCTCTATCAAAAGAAAGCTTCAACACTGTTAGTTGAGGGCGCACATCACAAATAAGATTCTGAGAATGCTTCTGTCTAGTTTTCAGGGGAAGATATTTCCTTTTTCACCATAGGCCTGAAAGCGCTCCAAATGTCCACATCCAGATACTACAAAAAGAGTGTTTCAAACCTGCTCTATGAAAGGGACTGTTCAACACTGTGACTTCAATTGAAACATCCCAATGAAGCTTCTGAGAATGCTTCTGTCTAGAGTTTATATGAAGACAATCACGTTTCCAACGAAATCCTCAAAGCTATCCAAATATCCTCTTGCAGATTTTACAAAAAGAGTGTTTCAAAACTGCTCTATCAAAAGAAAGCTTCAACACTGTTAGTTGAGGGCGCACATCACAAATAAGATTCTGAGAATGCTTCTGTCTAGTTTTCAGGGGAAGATATTTCCTTTTTCACCATAGGCCTGAAAGCGCTCCAAATGTCCACATCCAGATACTACAAAAAGAGTGTTTCAAACCTGCTCTATGAAAGGGAATGTTCAACTCTGTGACTTGAATGCAAACATCACAAAGAAGTTTCTGGGAATGCTGCTGTCTGCTTTTTATATGTAATCCCGTTTCCAACGATATCCTCAAAGCTAGACAAATATCCACCTGCAGATCGAACAAAAAGAGTGTTTCAAAACGGCTCTCTCAAAAGAATGGTTCAACTCTGCTAGCTGAGTAGATACATCATGAAAAAGTTTCTGACATTGCTTCTATGTAGCTTTTATTGGAAGATATTTCCTTTTTCACCGTAGTCCTGAGAGCGCTCCAAATGTCCACTTCCAGATACTACAAAAAGAGTGTTTCAAACCTGCTCTATGAAAGGAACTGTTCAACACTGTGACTTCAATTGAAACATCCCAATGAAGCTTCTGAGAATGCTTCTGCCTAGAGTTTATATGAAGACAATCCCGTTTCCAACGAAATCCTCAAAGCTATCCAAATATCCTCTTGCAGATATTACAAAAAGAGTGTTTCAAAACTGCTCTATCAAAAGAAAGCTTCAACACTGTTAGTTGAGGGCGCACATCACAAATAAGTTTCTGAGAATGCTTCTGTCTAGTTTTCAGGAGAAGATATTTCCTTTTTCACCATAGGCCTGAAAGCGCTCCAAATGTCCACATCCAGATACTATAAAAAGAGTGTTTCAAACCTGCTCTCTGAAAGGGAATGTTCAACTCTGTGACTTGAATGCAAACATGACAAACAAGATTCTGGGAATGCTGCTGTCTGCTTTTTATATGTAATCCCGTTTCCAACGAAATCCTCAAAGCTAGACAAATATCCACTTTCAGATTACACAAAAAGAGTGTTTCAAAACTGCTCTCTCAAAAGAAAGGTTCAACTCTGTTAGCTGAGTAGATACATCATGAAAAAGTTTCTGACATTGCTTCTATCTAGCTTTTATTGGAAGATATTTCCTTTTTCACCCTAGTCCTGAGAGCGCTCCAAATGTCCACTTCCAGATACTACAAAAAGAGTGTTTCAAACCTGTTCTATGAAAGGAACTGTTCAACACTGTGACTTCAATTGAAACATCCCAATGAAGCTTCTGGGAATGCTTCTGTCTAGAGTTTATATGAAGACAATCCCGTTTCCAACGAAATCCTCAAAGCTATCCAAATATCCTCTTGCAGATATTACAAAAAGAGTGTTTCAAAACTGCTCTATCAAAAGAAAGCTTCAACACTGTTAGTTGAGGGCGCACATCACAAATAAGTTTCTGAGAATGCTTCTGTCTAGTTTTCAGGGGAAGATATTTCCTTTTTCACCTTATGCCTGAAAGCGCTGCAAATGTCCACATCCAGATAATACAAAAAGAGTGTTTCAAACCTGCTCTATGAAAGGGAATGTTCAACTCTGTGACTTGAATGCAAACATCACAAAGAAGTTTCTGGGAATGCTGCTGTCTGCTTTTTATATGTAATCCCGTTTCCAACGAAATCCTCAAAGCTAGACAAATATCCACTTGCAGATTCCACAAAAAGAGTGTTTCAAAACTGCTCTCTCAAAAGAAAGGTTCAACACTGTTAGCTGAGTAGATACATCATGAAAAAGTTTCTGACATTGCTTCTATCTAGCTTTTATTGGAAGATATTTCCTTTATCACCGTATTCCTGAGATCTCTCCAAATGTCCACTTCCAGATACTACAAAAAGAGTGTTTCAAACCTGCTCTATGAAAGGGACTGTTCAACACTGTGACTTCAATTGAAACATCCCAATGAAGCTTCTGAGAATGCTTCTGTCTAGAGTTTATATGAAGACAATCCCGTTTCCAACGAAATCCTCAAAAGCTACCAATTATCCTCTTGCAGATTTTACGAAAAGAGTTTTTCAAAACTGCTCTATCAAAAGAAAGCTTCAACACTGTTAGCTGAGGGCGCACATCACAAATAAGATTCTGAGAATGCTGCTGTCTGCTTTTTATATGTAATCCCGTTTCCAACGAAATCCTCAAAGCTAGACAAATATCCACTTGCAGATTCCACAAAAAGAGTGTTTCAAAACTGCTCTATCAAAAGAATGCTTCAACACTGTTAGTTGAAGGCGCACATCACAAATAAGTTTCTGAGAATGCTTCTGTCTAGTTTTCAGGGGAAGATATTTCCTTTTTCACCATAGGCCTGAAAGCGCTCCAAATGTCCACATCCAGATACTACAAAAAGAGTGTTTCAAACCTGCTCTATGAAAGGGACTGTTCAACACTGTGACTTCAATTGAAACATCCCAATGAAGCTTCTGAGAATGCTTCTGTCTAGAGTTTATATGAAGACAATCCCGTTTCCAACGAAATCCTCAAAGCTATCCAAACATCCTCTTGCAGATATTACAAAAAGAGTGTTTCAAAACTGCTCTATCAAAAGAAAGCTTCAAAACTGTTAGTTGAGGGCGCACATCACAAATAAGTTTCTGAGAATGCTTCTGTCTAGTTTTCAGGGGAAGATATTTCCTTTTTCACCATAGGCCTGAAAGCGCTCCAAATGTCCACATCCAGATACTACAAAAAGAGTGTTTCAAACCTGCTCTATGAAAGGGAATGTTCAACTCTGTGACTTGAATGCAAACATCACAAAGAAGTTTCTGGGAATGCTGCTGTCTGCTTTTTATATGTAATCCCGTTTCCAACGAAATCCTCAAAGCTAGACAAATATCCACTTGCAGATTCCACAAAAAGAGTGTTTCAAAACTGCTCTCTCAAAAGAAAGGTTCAACTCTGTTAGCTGAGTAGATACATCATGAAAAAGTTTCTGCCATTGCTTCTATGTAGCTTTTATTGGAAGATATTTCCTTTATCACCGTATTCCTGAGATCTCTCCAAAAGTCCACTTCCAGATACTACAAAAAGAGTGTTTCAAACCTGCTCTATGAAAGGGACTGTTCAACACTGTGACTTCAATTGAAACATCCCAATGAAGCTTCTGAGAATGCTTCTGTCTAGAGTTTATATGAAGACAATCCCGTTTCCAAAGAAATCCTCAAAGCTATCCAAATATCCTCTTGCAGATATTACAAAAAGAGTGTTTCTAAACTGCTCTATCAAAAGAAAGGTTCAACACTGTTAGTTGAGGGCGCACATCACAAATAAGTTTCTGAGAATGCTTCTGTCTAGTTTTCAGGAGAAGATATTTCCTTTTTCACCATAGGGCTGAAAGCGCTCCAAATGTCCACATCCAGATACTACAAAAAGAGTGTTTCAAACCTGCTCTATGAAAGGGAATGTTCAACTGTGTGACTTGAATGCAAACATCACAAAGAAGTTTCTGGGAATGCTGCTGTCTGCTTTTTATATGTAATCCGGTTTCCAGCGAAATCCTCAAAGCTAGACAAATATCCACTTGCAGATTCCACAAAAAGAGTGTTTCAAAACTGCTCTCTCAAAGGAAGGTTCAACTCTGTTAGCTGAGTAGATACATCATGAAAAAGTTTCTGACATTGCTTCTATCTAGCTTTTATTGGAAGATATTTCCTTTTTCACCGTAGTCCTGAGAGCGCTCAAAATGTCCACTTCCAGATACTACAAAAAGAGTGTTTCAAACCTGCTCTATGAAAGGGACTGTTCAACACTGTGACTTCAATTGAAACATCCCAAATGAAGCTTCTGAGAATGCTGCTGTCTGCTTTGTATAATTAATCCCGTTTCCAACGAAATCCTCAAAGCTATCCAAATATCCTCTTGCAGATATTACAAAAAGAGTGTTTCAAAACTGCTCTATCAAAAGAAAGCTTCAACACTGTTAGTTGAGGGCGCACATCACAAATAAGTTTCTGAGAATGCTGCTGTCTGCTTTTTATATGTAATCCCGTTTCCAACGAAATCCTCAAAGCTAGACAAATATCCACTTGCAGATTCCACAAAAAGAGTGTTTCAAAACTGCTCTATCAAAAGAAAGCTTCAACACTGTTAGTTGAGGGCGCACATCACAAATAAGTTTCTGAGAATGCTTCTGTCTAGTTTTCAGGGGAAGATATTTCCTTTTTCACCATAGGCCTGAAAGCGCTCCAAATGTCCACATCCAGATACTACAAAAAGAGTGTTTCAAACCTGCTCTATGAAAGGGACTGTTCAACACTGTGACTTCAATTGAAACATCCCAATGAAGCTTCTGAGAATGCTTCTGTCTAGAGTTTATATGAAGACAATCCCGTTTCCAAAGAAATCCTCAAAGCTATCCAAATATCCTCTTGCAGATTTTACAAAAAGAGTGTTTCAAAACTGCTCTATCAAAAGAAAGCTTCAACACTGTTAGTTGAGGGCGCACATCACAAATAAGATTCTGAGAATGCTTCTGTCTAGTTTTCAGGAGAAGATATTTCCTTTTTCACCATAGGCCTGAAAGCGCTCCAAATGTCCACATCCAGATACTATAAAAAGAGTGTTTCAAACCTGCTCTCTGAAAGGGAATGTTCAACTCTGTGACTTGAATGCAAACATCACAAACAAGATTCTGGGAATGCTGCTGTCTGCTTTTTATAGGTAATCCCGTTTCCAACGAAATCCTCAAAGCTAGACAAATATCCACTTGCAGATTCCACAAAAAGAGTGTTTCAAAACTGCTCTCTCAAAAGAAAGTTTCAACTCTGTTAGCTGAGTAGATACATCATGAAAAAGTTTCTCACATTGCTTCTATCTAGCTTTTATTGGAAGATATTTCCTTTTTCACCGTAGTCCTGAGAACGCTCCAAATGTCCACTTCCAGATACTACAAAAAGAGTGTTTCAAACCTGCTCTATGAAAGGGACTGTTCAACACTGTGACTTCAGTTGAAACATCCCAATGAAGCTTCTGAGAATGCTACTGTCTAGAGTTTATATGAAGACAATCCCGTTTCCAACGAAATCCTCAAAGCTATCCAAATATCCTCTTGCAGATTTTACAAAAAGAGTGTTTCAAAACTACTCTATCAAAAGAAAGGTTTAACACTGTTAGTTGAGGGCGCACATTACAAATAAGTTTCTGAGAATGCTGCTGTCTGCTTTTTATATGTAATCCCGTTTCCAACGAAATCCTCAAAGCTATCCAAATATCCTCTTGCAGATTTTACAAAAAGAGTGTTTCAAAACTGCTCTATCAAAAGAAAGGTTCAACACTGTTAGTTGAGGGCGCACATCACAAATAAGATTCTGAGAATGCTTCTGTCTAGTTTTCAGGGGAAGATATTTCCTTTTTCACCATACGCCTGAAAGCGCTCCAAATGTCCACATTCAGATACTACAAAAAGAGTGTTTCAAACCTGCTCTATGAAAGGGAATGTTCAACTCTGTGACTTGAATGCAAACATCACAAAGAAGTTTCTGGGAATGCTTCTGTCTAGAGTTTATATGAAGACAATCCCGTTTCCAACCGAAATCCTCAAAGCTATCCAAATATCCTCTTGCAGATTTTACAAAAAGAGTGTTTCAAAACTGCTCTATCAAAAGAAAGCTTCAACACTGTTAGTTGAGGGCGCACATCACAAATAAGATTCTGCGAATGCTTCTGTCTAGTTTTCAGGGGAAGATATTTCCTTTTTCACCATAGGCCTGAAAGCGCTCCAAATGTCCACATCCAGATACTACAAAAAGAGTGTTTCAAACCTGCTCTATGAAAGGGAATGTTCAACTCTGTGACTTGAATGCAAACATCACAAAGAAGTTACTGGGAATGCTGCTGTCTGCTTTTTATATGTAATCCCGTTTCCAACGAAATCCTCAAAGCTAGACAAATATCCACTTCCAGATTCCACAAAAAGAGTGTTTTAAAACTGCTCTCTCAAAAGAAAGCTTCAACTCTGTTAGCTGAGTAGATACATCATGAAAAAGTTTCTGACATTGCTTCTATCTAGCTTTTATTGGAAGATATTTCCTTTTTCACCGTAGTCCTGAGAGCGCTCCAAATGTAAACTTCCAGATACTACAAAAAGAGTGTTTCAAACCTGCTCTATGAAAGGGACTGTTCAACACTGTGACTTCAATTGAAACATCCCAATGAAGCTTCTGAGAATACTTCTGTCTAGAGTTTATATGAAGACAATCCCGTTTCCAACGAAATCCTCAAAGCTATCCAAATATCCTCTTGCAGATATTACAAAAAGAGTGTTTCAAAACTGCTCTATCAAAAGAAAGGTTCAACACTGTTAGTTGAGGGCGCACATCACAAATAAGTTTACTGAGAATGCTGCTGTCTGCTTTTTATATGTAATCCCGTTTCCAACGAAATCCTCAAAGCTAGACAAATATCCACTTGCAGATTCCACAAAAAGAGTGTTTCAAAACTGCTCTATCAAAAGAATGCTTCAACACTGTTAGTTGAGGGCGCACATCACAAATAAGTTTCTGAGAATGCTTCTATCTAGCTTTTATTGGAAGATATTTCCTTTTTCACCGCAGTCCTGAGAGCGTTCCAAATGTCCACTTCCAGATACTACAAAAAGAGTGTTTCAAACCTGCTCTATGAAAGGGACTGTTCAACACTGTGACTTCAATTGAAACATCCCAATGAATCTTCTGAGAATGCTTCTGTCTAGAGTTTATATGAAGACAATCCCGTTTCCAACGAAATCCTCAAAGCTATCCAAATATCCTCTTGCAGATATTACAAAAAGAGTGTTTCAAAACTGCTCTATCAAAAGAAAGCTTCAACACTGTTAGTTGAGGGCGCACATCACAAATAAGTTTCTGAGAATGCTTCTGTCTAGTTTTCAGGAGAAGATATTTCCTTTTTCACCATAGGCCTGAAAGCGCTCCAAATGTCCACATCCAGATCCTACAAAAAGAGTGTTTCAAACCTGCTCTATGAAAGGGAATGTTCAACTCTGTGACTTGAATGCAAACATCACAAAGAAGTTACTGGGAATGCTGCTGTCTGCTTTTTATATATAATCCCGTTTCCAACGAAATCCTCAAAGATAGACAAATATCCACTTGCAGATTCCACAAAAAGAGTGTTTCAAAACTGCTCTATCAAAGGAATGCTTCAACACTGTTAGTTGAGGGCGCACATCACAAATAAGTTTCTGAGAATGCTTCTGTCTAGTTTTCAGGGGAAGATATTTCCTTTTTCACCATAGGCCTGAAAGCGCTCGAAATGTCCACATCCAGATACTACAAAAAGAGTGTTTCAAACCTGCTCTATGAAAGGGACTGTTCAACACTGTGACTTCAATTGAAACATCCCAATGAAGCTTCTGAGAATGCTTCTGTCTAGATTTTATATGAAGACAATCCCGTTTCCAAAGAAATCCTCAAAGCTATCAAAATATCCTCTTGCAGATTTTACAAAGAGTGTTTCAAAACTACTCTATCAAAAGAAAGGTTTAACACTGTTAGTTGAGGGCGCACATCACAAATAAGTTTCTGAGAACGCTTCTGTCTAGTTTTCAGGGGAAGATATTTCCTTTTTCACCATAGGCCTGAAAGCGCTCCAAATGTCCACATTCAGATACTACAAAAAGAGTGTTTAAGACCTGCTCTATGAAAGGGAATGTTCAACTCTGTGACTTGAATGCAAACATCACAAAGAAGTTTACTGGGAATGCTGCTGTCTGCTTTTTATATGTAATCCCGTTTCCAACGAAATCCTCAATGCTAGACAAATATCCACTTGCAGATTCCACAAAAAGAGTGTTTCAAAACTGCTCTCTCAAAAGAAAGGTTCAACTCTGTTAGCTGAGTAGATACATCATGAAAAAGTTTCTGACATTGCTTCTATGTAGCTTTTATTGGAAGATATTTCCTTTTTCACCGTAGTCCTGAGAGCGCTCCAAATGTCCACTTCCAGATACTACAAAAAGAGTGTTTCAAACCTGCTCTATGAAAGGGACTGTTCAACACTGTGACTTCAATTGAAACATCCCAATGAAGCTTCTGAGAATGCTTCTGTCTAGAGTTTATATGAAGACAATCCCGTTTCCAACGAAATCCTCAAAGCTATCCAAATATCCTCTTGCAGATATTACAAAAAGAGTGTTTCAAAACTGCTCTATCAAAAGAAAGGTTCAACACTGTTAGTTGAGGGCGCACATCACAAATAAGTTTCTGAGAATGCTTCTATGTAGCTTTTATTGGAAGATATTTCCTTTTTCACCATAGGCCTGAAAGCGCTCCAAATGTCCACATCCAGATACTACAAAAAAAGTGTTTCAAACCTGCTCTATGAAAGGGAATGTTCAACTCTGTGACGTGAATGCAAACATCACAAAGAAGTTTCTGGGAATACTGCTGTCTGCTTTTCATATGTAATCCCGTTTCCAACGAAATCCTCAAAGCTAGACAAATATCCACTTGCAGATTCCACAAAAAGAGTGTTTCAAAACTGCTCTCTCAAAGGAAAGGTTCAACTCTGTTAGCTGAGTAGATACATCATGAAAAAGTTTCTGACATTGCTTCTATGTAGCTTTTATTGGAAGATATTTCCTTTTTCACCGAAGTCCTGAGAGCGCTCCAAATGTCCACTTCCAGATACTACAAAAAGAGTGTTTCAAACCTGTTCTATGAAAGGAACTGTTCAACACTGTGACTTCAATTGAAACATCCCAATGAAGCTTCTGAGAATGCTTCTGTCTAGAGTTTATATGAAGACAATCCCGTTTCCAACGAAATCCTCAAAGCTATCCAAATATCCTCTTGCAGATATTACAAAAAGAGTGTTTCAAAACTGCTCTATCAAAAGAAAGGTTAAACACTGTTAGTTGAGGGCGCACATCACAAATAAGTTTCTGAGAATGCTTCTGTCTAGTTTTCTGGGGAAGATATTTCCTTTTTCACCATAGGCCTGAAAGCGCTCCAAATGTCCACATCCAGATACTACAAAAAGAGTGTTTCCAACCTGCTCTATGAAAGGGAATGTTCAACTCTGTGACTTGAATGCAAACATCACAAAGAAGTTTCTGGGAATGCTGCTGTCTGCTTTTTATATGTAATCCCGTTTCCAACGAAATCCTCAAAGCTAGACAAATATCCACTTCCAGATTCCACAAAAAGAGTGTTTCAAAACTGCTCTCTCAAAAGAAAGGTTCAACTCTGTTAGCTGAGTAGATACATCATGAAAAAGTTTCTGACATTGCTTCTATCTAGCTTTTATTGGAAGATATTTCCTTTATCACCGTATTCCTGAGATCTCTCCAAATGTCCACTTCCAGATACTACAAAAAGAGTGTTTCAAACCTGCTCTATGAAAGGGACTGTTCAACACTGTGACTTCAATTGAAACATCCCAATGAAGCTTCTGAGAATGCTTCTGTCTAGATTCTATATGAAGACAATCCCGTTTCCAACGAAATCCTCAAAGCTATCCAAATATCCTCTTGCAGATTTTACAAAAAGAGTGTTTCAAAACTGCTCTATCAAAAGAAAAGTTCCACACTGTTAGTTGAGGGCGCACATCACAAATAAGTTTGCTGAGAATGCTGCTGTCTGCTTTTTATATGTAATCCCGTTTCCAACGAAATCCTCAAAGCTATCCAAATATCCTCTTGCAGATTTTACAAAAAGAGTGTTTCAAAACTGCTCTATCAAAAGAAAGCTTCAACACTGTTAGTTGATGGCGCACATCACAAATAAGATTCTGAGAATTGCTTCTGTCTAGTTTTCAGGGGAAGATATTTCCTTTTTCACCATAGGCCTGAAAGCGCTCCAAATGTCCACATCCAGATACTACAAAAAGAGTGTTTCAAACCTGCTCTATGAAAGGGACTGTTCAACACTGTGACTTCAATTGAAACATCCCAATGAAGCTTCTGAGAATGCTACTGTCTAGGGTTAATATGAAGACAATCCCGTTTCCAACGAAATCCTCAAAGCTATCCAAATATCCTCTTGCAGATTTTACAAGAAGAGTGTTTCAAAACTACTCTATCAACAGAAAGGTTCAACATTGTTAGTTGAGGGCCCACATCACAAATAAGTTTCTGAGAATGCTTCTGTGTAGTTTCCAGGGGAAGATATTTCCTTTTTCACCATAGGCCTGAGAGCGCTCCAAATGTCCACATCCAGATACTACAAAAAGAGTGTTTCAAACCTGCTCTACGAAAGGGAATGTTCAACTCTGTGACTTGAATGCAAACATCACAAAGAAGTTTCTGGGAATGCTGCTGTCTGTTTTTTATATGTAATCCCGTTTCCAACGAAATCCTCAAACCTAGACAAATATCCACCTGCAGATCGAACAAAAAGAGTGTTTCAAAACTGCTCTCTCAAAAAAAAGGTTCAACTCTGTTAGCTGAGTAGATACATCATGAAAAAGTTTCTGACATTGCTTCTATCTAGCTTTTATTGGAAGATATTTCCTTTTTCACCGTAGTCTTGAGAGCGCTCCAAATGTCCACTTCCAGATACTACAAAAAGAGTGTTTCAAACCTGCTCTATGAAAGGGACTGTTCAACACTGTGACTTCAATTGAAACATCCCAATGAAGCTTCTGAGAATGCTTATGTCTAGAGTTTATATGAAGACAATCCCGTTTCCAACGAAATCCTGAAAGCTATCCAAATATCCTCTTGCAGATATTACAAAAAGAGTGTTTCAAAACTGCTCTATCAAAAGAAAGCTTCAACACTGTTAGTTGAGGGCGCCCATCACAAATAAGTTTCGGAGAATGCTTAGCTGTCTGCTTTTTATATGTAATCCCGTTTCCAACGAAATCCTCAAAGCTAGACAAATATCCACTTGCAGATTCCACAAAACGAGTGTTTCAAAACTGCTCTATCAAAAGAATGCTTCAACACTGTTAGTTGACGGCGCACATCACAAATAAGTTTCTGAGAATGCTTCTGTCTAGTTTTCAGGGGAAGATATTTCCTTTTAAACCATAGGCCTGAAAGCGCTCCAAATGTCCACATCCAGATACTACAAAAAGAGTGTTTCAAACCTGCTCTATGAAAGGGACTGTTCAACACTGTGACTTCAATTGAAACATCCCAATGAAGCTTCTGAGAATGCTTCTGTCTAGAGTTTATATGAAGACAATCCCGTTTCCAACGAAATCCTCAAAGCTATCCAAATATCCTCTTGCAGATATTACAAAAAGAGTGTTTCAAAACTGCTCTATCAAAAGAAAGGTTCAACACTGTTAGTTGAGGGCGCACATCACAAATAAGTTTCTGAGAATGCTTTCTGTCTAGTTTTCAGGGGAAGATATTTCCTTTTTCACCATAGGCCTGAAAGCGCTCCAAATGTCCACATCCAGATACTACAAAAAGAGTGTTTCAAACCTGCTCTATGAAAGGGAATGTTCAACTCTGTGACGTGAAAGCAAACATCACAAAGAAGTTTCTGGGAATGCTGCTGTCTGCTTTTTATATGTAAACCCGTTTCCAACGAAATCCTCAAAGCTAGACAAATATCCACTTGCAGATTCCACAAAAAGAGTGTTTCAAAACTGCTCTCTCAAAAGAAAGGTTCAACTCTGTTAGCTGAGTAGATACATCATGAAAAAGTTTCTGACATTGCTTCTATCTAGCTTTTATTGGAAGATATTTCCTTTATCACTGTAGTCCTGAGAGCGCTCCAAATGTCCACTTCCAGATACTACAAAAAGAGTGTTTCAAACCTGCTCTATGAAAGGGACTGTTCAACACTGTGACTTCAATTGAAACATCCCAATGAAGCTTCTGAGAATGCTGCTGTCTGCTTTGTATAATTAATCCCGTTTCCAACGAAATCCTCAAAGCTATCCAAATATCCTCTTGCAGATATTACAAAAAGAGTGTTTCAAAACTGCTCTATCAAAAGAAAGCTTCAACACTGTTAGTTGAGGGCGCACATCACAAATAAGTTTCTGAGAATGCTGCTGTCTGCTTTTTATAATTAATCCCGTTTCCAACGAAATCCTCAAAGCTATCCAAATATCCTCTTGCAGATATTACAAAAAGAGTGTTTCAAAACTGCTCTATCAAAAGAAAGCTTCAACACTGTTAGTTGAGGGCGCACATCACAAATAAGATTCTGAGAATGCTTCTGTCTAGTTTTCTGGGGAAGATATTTCCTTTTTCACCATAGGCCTGAAAGCGCTCCAAATGTCCACATCCAGATACTACAAAAAGAGTGTTTCAAACCTGCTCTATGAAAGGGAATGTTCAACTCTGTGACTTGAATGCGAACATCACAAAGAAGTTACTGGGAATGCTGCTGTCTGCTTTTTATATGTAATCCCGTTTCCAACGAAATCCTGAAAGCTAGACAAATATCCACCTGCAGATTCCACAAAAAGAGTGTTTCAAAACTGCTCTCTCAAAAAAAATGTTCACCTCTGTTAGCTGAGTAGATACATCATGAAAAAGTTTCTGACATTGCTTCTATCTAGCTTTTATTGGAAGATATTTCCTTTTTCACCGCAGTCCTGAGAGCGCTCCAAATGTCCACTTCCAGATACTACAAAAAGAGTGTTTCAAACCTGCTCTATGAAAGGGACTGTTCAACACTGTGACTTCAATTGAAACATCCCAATGAAGCTTCTGAGAATGCTTCTGTCTAGAGTTTATATGAAGACAATCCCGTTTCCAACGAAATCCTCAAAGCTATCCAAATATCCTCTTGCAGATATTACAAAAAGAGTGTTTCAAAACTGCTCTATCAAAAGAAAGTTTCAACACTGTTAGTTGAGGGCGCACATCACAAATAAGTTTCTGAGAATGCTGCTGTCTGCTTTTTATATGTAATCCCGTTTCCAACGAAATCCTCAAAGCTAGACAAATATCCACTTGCAGATTCCACAAAAAGAGTGTTTCAAACTGCTCTATCAAAAGAATGCTTCAACACTGTTAGTTGAGGGCGCACATCACAAATAAGTTTCTGAGAATGCTTCTGTCTAGTTTTCAGGGGAAGATATTTCCTTTTTCACCTTAGGCCTGAAAGCGCTCCAAATGTCCACATCCAGATACTACAAAAAGAGTGTTTCAAACCTGCTCTATGAAAGGGACTGTTCAACACTGTGACTTCAATTGAAACATCCCAATGAAGCTTCTGAGAATGCTTCTTTCTAGAGTTTATATGAAGACAATCCCGTTTCCAACGAAATCCTCAAAGCTATCCAAATATCCTCTTGCAGATATTACAAAAAGAGTGTTTCAAAACTGCTCTATCAAAAGAAAGCTTCAACACTGTTAGTTGAGGGCGCACATCAAAAATAAGTTTCTGAGAATGCTTCTGTCTAGTTTTCAGGAGAAGATATTTCCTTTTTCACCATAGGCCTGAAAGCGCTCCAAATGTCCACATCCAGATACTATAAAAAGAGTGTTTCAAACCTGCTCTCTGAAAGGGAATGTTCAACTATGTGACTTGAATGCAAACATCACAAACAAGATTCTGGGAATGCTGCTGTCTGCTTTTTATATGTAATCCCGTTTCCAACGAAATCCTCAAAGCTAGACAAATATCCACTTGCAGATAAAAAGATTGTTTCAAAACTGCTCTGTCAAAAGAAAGCTTCAACACTGTTAGTTGAGGGCGCACATCACAAATAAGTTTCTGAGAATGCTTCTGTCTAGTTTTCAGGGGAAGATATTTCCTTTTAAACCATAGGCCTGAAAGCGCTCCAAATGTCCACATCCAGATACTACAAAAAGAGTGTTTGAAACCTGCTCTATGAAAGGGACTGTTCAACACTGTGACTTCAATTGAAACATCCCAATGAAGCTTCTGAGAATGCTTCTGTCTAGAGTTTATATGAAGACAATCCCGTTTCCAACGAAATCCTCAAAGCTATCCAAATATCCTCTTGCAGATTTTACAAAAAGAGTGTTTCAAAACTGCTCTATCAAAAGAAAGGTTCAACACTGTTAGTTGAGGGCGCACATCACAAATAAGTTTCTGAGAATGCTTCTGTCTAGTTTTCAGGGGAAGATATTTCCTTTTTCACCATAGGCCTGAAAGCGCTCCAAATGTCCACATACAGATACTACAAAAAGAGTGTTTCAAACCTGCTCTATGAAAGGGAATGTTCAACTCTGTGACTTGAATGCAAACTTCACAAAGAATTTTCTGGGAATGCTGCTGTCTGCTTTTTATATGTAATCCCGTTTCCAACGAAATCCTCATAGCTAGACAAATATCCACTTGCAGATTCCACAAAAAGAGTGTTTCAAAACTGCTCTCTCAAAAGAAAGGTTCAACTCTGTTAGCTGAGTAGATACATCATGAAAAAGTTTCTGACTTTGCTTCTATGTAGCTTTTATTGGAAGATATTTCCTTTTTCACCATAGTCCTGAGAGCGCTCCAAATGTCCACTTCCAGATACTACAAAAAGAGTGTTTCAAACCTGTTCTATGAAAGGAACTGTTCAACACTGTGACTTCAATTGAAACATCCCAATGAAGCTTCTGAGAATGCTTCTGTCTAGAGTTTATATGAAGACAATCCCGTTTCCAACGAAATCCTCAAAGCTATCCAAATATCCTCTTGCAGATATTACAAAAAGAGTGTTTCAAAACTGCTCTATCAAAAGAAAGCTTCAACACTGTTAGTTGAGGGCGCTAATCACAAATAAGATTCTGAGAATGCTTGCTGTCTGCTTTTTATTTGTAATCCCGTTTCCAACGAAATCCTCAATGCTAGACAAATATCGACTTGCAGATTCCAGAAAAAGAGTGTTTCAAAATTGCTCTTTCAAAACGATGGTTCAATTCTGTTAGTTGAGTACACACATCACAAATAAGTTTCAGAGAATGCTTCTGTCTAGTTTTCAGGGGAAGATATTTCCTTTTAAACCATAGGCCTGAAAGCGCTCCAAATGTCCACATCCAGATACTACAAAAAGAGTGTTTCAAATCTGCTCTATGAAAGGGACTGTTCAACACTGTGACTTCAATTGAAACATCCCAATGAGGCTTCTGAGAATGCTTCTGTCTAGAGTTTATATGAAGACAATCCCGTTTCCAACGAAATCCTCAAAGCTATCCAAATATCCTCTTGCAGATATTACAAAAAGAGTGTTTCAAAACTGCTCTATCAAAAGAAAGCTTCAACACTGTTAGTTGAGGGCGCACATCACAAATAAGTTTCTGAGAATGCTTCTGTCTAGTTTTCAGGGGAAGATATTTCCTTTTTCACCATAGGCCTGAAAGCGCTCCAAATGTCCACATCCAGATACTACAAAAAGAGTGTTTCAAACCTGCTCTATGAAAGGGAATGTTCAACTCTGTGACTTGAATGCAAACGTCACAAAGAAGTTTCTGGGAATGCTGCAGTCTGCTTTTTATATGTAATCCCGTTTCCAACGAAATCCTCAAAGCTAGACAAATATCCACTTGCAGATTCCACAAAAAGAGTGTTTCAAAACTGCTCTCTCAAAAGAAAGGTTCAACTCTGTTAGCTGAGTAGATACATCATGAAAAAGTTTCTGACATTGCTTCTATCTAGCTTTTATTGGAAGATATTTCCTTTATCACCGTATTCCTGAGATCTCTCCAAATGTCCACTTCCAGATACTACAAAAAGAGTGTTTCAAACCTGCTCTATGAAAGGGACTGTTCAACACTGTGACTTCAATTGAAACATCCCAATGAAGCTTCTGAGAATGCTTCTGTCTAGAGTTTATATGAAGACAATCCCGTTTCCAAAGAAATCCTCAAAGCTATCCAAATATCCTCTTGCAGATATTACAAAAAGAGTGTTTCAAAACTGCTCTATCAAAAGAAAGGTTCAACACTGTTAGTTGAGGGCGCACATCACAAATAAGTTTCTGAGAATGCTTCTGTCTGGTTTTCAGGGGAAGATATTTCCTTTTTCACCATAGGCCTGAAAGCGCTCCAAATGTCCACATCCAGATACTAGAAAAAGAGTGTTTCAAACCTGCTCTATAAAAGGGAATGTTCAACTCTGTGACTTGAATGCAAACATCACAAAGAAGTTTCTGGGAATGCTGCTGTCTGCTTTTTATATGTAATCCCGTTTCCAACGAAATCCTCAAAGCTAGACAAATATCCACTTGCAGATTCCACAAAAAGAGTGTTTCAAAACTGCTCTCTCAAAGGAAAGGTTCAACTCTGTTAGCTGAGTAGATACATCATGAAAAAGTTTCTGACATTGCTTCTATCTAGCTTTATTTGGAAGATATTTCCTTTTTCACCGTAGTCCTGAGAACGCTCCAAATGTCCACTTCCAGATACTACAAAAAGAGTGTTTCAAACATGCTCTATGAAAGGGACTGTTCAACACTGTGACTTCAATTGAAACATCCCAAAGAAGCTGCTGAGAATGCTTCTGTCTAGAGTTTATATGAAGACAATCCCGTTTCCAACGAAATCCTCAAAGCTATCCAAATATCCTCTTGCAGATATTACAAAAAGAGTGTTTCAAAACTGCTCTATCAAAAGAAAGGTTCAACACTGTTAGTTGAGGGCGCACATCACAAATAAGTTTACTGAGAATGCTGCTGTCTGCTTTTTATATGTAATCCCGTTTCCAACGAAATCCTCAAAGCTAGACAAATATCCACTTGCAGATTCCACAAAAAGAGTGTTTCAAAACTGCTCTATCAAAAGAAAGCTTCAACACTGTTAGTTGAGGGCGCACATCACAAATAAGTTTCTGAGAATGCTTCTGTCTAGTTTTCAGGGGAAGATATTTCCTTTTTCACCATAGGCCTGAAAGCGCTCGAAATGTCCACATCCAGATACTACAAAAAGAGTGTTTCAAACCTGCTCTATGAAAGGGACTGTTCAACACTGTGACTTCAATTGAAACATCCCAATGAAGCTTCTGAGAATGCTTCTGTCTAGAGTTTATATGAAGACAATCCCGTTTCCAACGAAATCCTCAAAGCTATCCAAATATCCTCTTGCAGATTTTACAAAAAGAGTGTTTCAAAACTGCTCTACCAAAAGAAAGCTTCAAGACTGTTAGTTGAGGGAGCACATCACAAATAAGATTCTGAGAATGCTTCTGTCTAGTTTTCAGGGGAAGATATTTCCTTTTTCAACATAGGCCTGAAAGCGCTCCAAATGTCCACATCCAGATACTATAAAAAGAGTGTTTCAAACCTGCTCTCTGAAAGGGAATGTTCAACTCTGTGACTTGAATGCAAACATCACAAACAAGATTCTGGGAATGCTGCTGTCTGCTTTTTATATGTAATCCCGTTTCCAACGAAATCCTCAAAGCTAGACAAATATCCACTTCCAGATTCCACAAAAAGAGTGTTTCAAAACTGCTCTCTCAAAAGAAAGGTTCAACTCTGTTAGCTGAGTAGATACATCATGAAAAAGTTTCTGACATTGCTTCTATCTAGCTTTATTTGGAAGATATTTCCTTTTTCACCATAGTCCTGAAAACGCTCCAAATGTCAACTTCCAGATACTACAAAAAGATTGTTTCAAACATGCTCTATGAAAGGGACTGTTCAACACTGTGACTTCAATTGAATCATCCCAATGAAGCTTCTGAGAATGCTTCTGTCTAGATTTTATATGAAGACAATCCCGTTTCAAACGAAATCCTCAAAGCTATCCAAATATCCTCTTGCAGATTTTACAAAAAGAGTGTTTCAAAACTGCTCTATCAAAAGAAAGCTTCAACACTGTTAGTTGAGGGCGCACATCACAAATAAGTTTCTGAGACTACTGCTGTCTGCTTTTTATATGTAATCCCGTTTCCAACGAAATCCTCAAAGCTAGACAAATATCCACTTGCAGATTCCACAAAAAGAGTGTTTCAAAACTGCTCTATCAAAAGAATGCTTCAACACTGTTAGTTGAGGGCGCACATCACAAATAAGTTTCTGAGAATGCTTCTGTCTAGTTTTCAGGGGAAGATATTTCCTTTTAAACCATAGGCCTGAAAGCGCTCCAAATGTCCACATCCAGATACTACAAAAAGAGTGTTTCAAACCTGCTCTATGAAAGGGACTGTTCAACACTGTGACTTCAATTGAAACATCCCAATGACGCTTCTGAGAATGCTTCTGTCTAGAGTTTATATGAAGACAATCCCGTTTCCAACGAAATCCTCAAAGCTATCCAAATATCCTGTTGCAGATATTACAAAAAGAGTGTTTCAAAACTGCTCTATCAAAAGAAAGCTTCAACACTGTTAGTTGAGGGCGCACATCACAAATAAGTTTCCTGAGAATGCTTCTGTCTAGTTTTCAGGGGAAGATATTTCCTTTTTCACCTTAGGCCTGAAAGCGCTGCAAATGTCCACAACCAGATACTACAAAAAAAGTGTTTCAAACCTGCTCTATGAAAGGGAATGTTCAACTCTGTGACTTGAATGCAAACATCACAAAGAAGTTTCTGGGAACGCTGCAGTCTGCTTTTTATATGTAATCCCGTTTCCAACGAAATCCTCAAAGCTAGACAAATATCCACTTGCAGATTCCACAAAAAGAGTGTTTCAAAACTGCTCTCTCAAAAGAAAGGTTCAACTCTGTTAGCTGAGTAGATACATCATGAAAAAGTTTCTGACATTGCTTCTATCTAGCTTTTATTGGAAGATATTTCCTTTATCACCGTATTCCTGAGATCTCTCCAAATGTCCACTTCCAGATACTACAAAAAGAGTGTTTCAAACCTGCTCTATGAAAGGGACTGTTCAACACTGTGACTTCAATTGAAACATCCCAATGAAGCTTCTGAGAATGCTTCTGTCTAGAGTTTATATGAAGACAATCCCGTTTCCAACGAAATCCTCAAAGCTATCCAAATATCCTCTTGCAGATTTTACAAAAAGAGTGTTTCAAAACTGCTCTATCAAAAGAAAGGTTCAACACTGTTAGTTGAGGGCGCACATCACAAATAAGTTTCTGAGAATGCTTCTGTCTAGTTTTCAGGGGAAGATATTTCCTTTTTCACCATAGGCTTGAAAGCACTCCAAATGTCCACATCCAGATACTACAAAAAGAGTGTTTCAAACCTGCTCTATGAAAGGGAATGTTCAACTCTGTGACTTGAATGCAAACATCACAAAGAAGTTTCTGGGAATGCTGCTGTCTGCTTTTTATATGTAATCCCGTTTCCAACGAAATCCTCAAAGCTAGACAAATATCCACTTGCAGATTCCACAAAAAGAGTGTTTCAAAACTGCTCTCTCAAAGGAAGGTTCAACTCTGTTAGCTGAGTAGATACATCATGAAAAAGTTTCTGACATTGCTTCTATCTAGCTTTTATTGGAAGATATTTCCTTTATCACCGTATTCCTGAGAACTCTCCAAACGTCCACTTCCAGATACTACAAAAAGAGTGTTTCAAACCTGCTCTATGAAAGGGACTGTTCAACACTGTTACTTCAATTGAAACATCCCAATGAAGCTTCTGAGAATGCTTCTGTCTAGATTTTGTATGAAGAGAATCCCGTTTCCAACGAAATCCTCAAAGCTATCCAAATATCCTCTTGCAGATTTTACAAAAAGAGTGTTTCAAAACTGCTCTATCAAAAGAAAGCTTCAACACTGTTAGTTGAGGGCGCACATCACAAATAAGATTCTGAGAATGCTGCTGTCTGCTTTTTATATGTAATCCCGTTTCCAACGAAATCCTCAAAGCTAGACAAATATCCACTTGCAGATTCCACAAAAAGAGTGTTTCAAAACTGCTCTATCAAAAGAATGCTTCAACACTGTTAGTTGAGGGCGCACATCACAAATAAGTTTCTGAGAATGCTTCTGTCTAGTTTTCAAGGGAAGATATTTCCTTTTAAACCATAGGCCTGAAAGCGCTCCAAATGTCCACATCCAGATACTACAAAAAGAGTGTTTCAAACCTGCTCTATGAAAGGGACTGTTCAACACTGTGACTTCAATTGAAACATCCCAATGACGCTTCTGAGAATGCTTCTGTCTAGAGTTTATATGAACACAATCCCGTTTCCAACGAAATCCTCAAAGCTATCCAAATATCCTCTTGCAGATTTTACAAAAAGAGTGTTTCAAAACTGCTCTCTCAAAAGAAAGGTTCAACTCTGTTAGCTGAGTAGATACATCATGAAAAAGTTTCTGACATTGCTTCTATGTAGCTTTTATTGGAAGATATTTCCTTTTTCACCGTAGTCCTGAGAGCGCTCCAAATGTCCACTTCCAGATACTAAAAAAAGAGTGTTTCAAACCTGCTCTATGAAAGGCACTGTTCAACACTGTGACTTCAATTGAAACATCCCAATGAAGCTTCTGAGAATGCTTCTGTCTAGAGTTTATATGAAGACAATCCCGTTTCCAATGAAATTCTCAAAGCTATCCAAATATGCTCTTGCAGATTTTACAAAAAGAGTGTTTCAAAACTGCTCTATCAAAAGAAAGCTTCAACACTGTTAGTTGAGGGCGCACATCACAAATAAGATTCTGAGAATGCTTCTGTCTAGTTTTCAGGAGAAGATATTTCCTTTTTCACCACAGGCCTGAAAGCGCTCCAAATGTCCACATCCAGATACTATAAAAAGAGTGTTTCAAACCTGCTCTCTGAAAGGGAATGTTCAACTCTGTGACTTGAATGCAAAGATCACAAACAAGATTCTGGGAATGCTTCTGTCTAGTTTTCAAGGGAAGATATTTCCTTTTAAACCATAGGCCTGAAAGCGCTCCAAATGTCCACATCCAGATACTACAAAAAGAGTGTTTCAAACCTGCTCTATGAAAGGGACTGTTCAACACTGTGACTTCAATTGAAACATCCCAATGACGCTTCTGAGAATGCTTCTGTCTAGAGTTTATATGAAGACAATCCCGTTTCCAACGAAATCCTCAAAGCTATCCAAATATCCTCTTGCAGATTTTACAAAAAGAGTGTTTCAAAACTGCTCTATCAAAAGAAAGCTTCAACACTGTTAGTTGAGGGCGCACATCACAAATAAGATTCTGAGAATGCTTCTGTCTAGTTTTCAGGGGAAGATATTTCCTTTTTCCCCATTGGCCTGAAAGCGCTCCAAATGTCCACATCCAGATACTACAAAAAGAGTGTTTCAAACCTGCTCTATGAAAGGGAATGTTCAACTCTGTGACTTGAATGCAAACATCACAAAGAAGTTACTGGGAATGCTGCTGTCTGCTTTTTATATGTAATCCCGTTTCCAACGATATCCTCAAAGCTAGACAAATATCCACTTGCAGATTCCACCAAAAGAATGTTTCAAAACTGCTCTCTCAAAAGAAAGGTTCAACTCTGTTAGCTGAGCAGATACATCATGAAAAATTTTCTGACATTGCTTCTATCTAGCTTTTATTGGAAGATATTTCCTTTTTCACTGTAGTCCTGAGAACGCTCCACAAGTCCACTTCCAGATACTACAAAAAGAGTGTTTCAAACCTGCTCTATGAAAGGGACTGTTCAACACTGTGACTTCAATTGAAACATCCCAATGAAGCTTCTGAGAATGCTGCTGTCTGCTTTGTATAATTAATCCCGTTTCCAACGAAATCCTCAAAGCTATCCAAATATCCTCTTGCAGATATTACAAAAAGAGTGTTTCAAAACTGCTCTATCAAAAGAAAGCTTCAACACTGTTAGTTGAGGGCGCACATCACAAATAAGTTTCTGAGAATGCTGCTGTCTGCTTTTTATATGTAATCCCGTTTCCAACGAAATCCTCAAAGCTAGACAAATATCCACTTGCAGATTCCACAAAACGAGTGTTTCAAAACTGCTCTATCAAAAGAATGCTTCAACACTGTTAGTTGAGGGCGCACATCACAAATAAGTTTCTGAGAATGCTTCTGTCTAGTTTTCAGGGAGAAGATATTTCCTTTTTCACCGTATTCCTGAGATCTCTCCAAATGTCCACTTCCAGATACTACAAAAAGAGTGTTTCAAACCTGCTCTATGAAAGGGACTGTTCAACACTGTGACTTCAATTGAAACATCCCAATGAAGCTTCTGAGAATGCTTCTGTCTAGAGTTTATATGAAGACAATCCCGTTTCCAACGAAATCCTCAAAGCTATCCAAATATCCTCTTGCAGATATTACAAAAAGAGTGTTTCAAAACTGCTCTATCAAAAGAAAGCTTCAACACTGTTAGTTGAGGGCGCACATCACAAATAAGTTTCTGAGAATGCTTCTGTCTAGTTTTCAGGGGAAGATATTTCCTTTTTCACCATAGGCCTGAAAGCGCTCCAAATGTCCACATCCAGATACTACAAAAAGAGTGTTTCAAGCCTCCTCTATGAAAGGGAATGTTCAACTCTGTGACTTGAATGCAAACATCACAAAGAAGTTTCTGGGAATGCTGCTGTCTGCTTTTTATATGTAATCCCGTTTCCAACGAAATCCTCAAAGCTAGACAAATATCCACTTGTAGATTCCACAAAAAGAGTGTTTCAAAACTGTTCTCTCAAAAGAAAGGTTTAACTCTGTTAGCTGAGTAGATACATCATGAAAAAGTTTCTGACATTGCTTCTATCTAGCTTTTATTGGAAGATATTTCCTTTTTCACTGCAGTCCTGAGAGCGCTCCAAATGTCCACTTCCAGATACTACAAAAAGAGTGTTTCAAACCTGCTCTATGAAAGGGACTGTTCAACACTGTGACTTTAATTGAAACATCCCAATGAAGCTTCTCAAAATGCTTCTGTCTAGAGTTGATATGAAGACAATCCCGTTTCCAACGAAATCCTCAAAGCTATCAAAATATCCTCTTGCAGATTTTACGAAAAGAGTGTTTCAAAACTGCTCTATCAAAAGAAAGGTTCAACACTGTTAGTTGAGGGCGCACATCACAAATAAGATTCTGAGAATGCTGCTGTCTGCTTTTTATATGTAATCCCGTTTCCAACGAAATCCTCAAAGCTAGACAAATATCCACTTGCAGATTCCACAAAAAGAGTGTTTCAAAACTGCTCTATCAAAAGAAAGCTTCAACACTGTTAGTTGAGGGCGCACATCACAAATAAGTTTCTGAGAATGCTTCTGTCTAGTTTTCAGGGGAAGATATTTCCTTTTAAACCATAGGCCTGAAAGCGCTCCAAATGTCCACATCCAGATACTACAAAAAGAGTGTTTCAAACCTGCTCTATGAAAGGGACTGTTCAACACTGTGACTTCAATTCAAACATCCCAATGACGCTTCTGAGAATGCTTCTGTCTAGATTTTATATGAAGACAATCCCGTTTCCAAAGAAATCCTCAAAGCTATCCAAATATCCTCTTGCAGATTTTACAAAAAGAGTGTTTCAAAACTGCTCTATCAAAAGAAAAGTTCAACACTGTTAGTTGAGGGCGCACATCACAAATAAGTTTCTGAGAATGCTTCTGTCTAGTTTTCAGGGGAAGATATTTCCTTTTTCACCATAGGCCTGAGAGCGCTCAAATGTCCACATCCAGATACTACAAAAAGAGTGTTTCAAACCTGCTCTATGAAAGGGAATGTTCAACTCTGTGACTTGAATGCAAACATCACAAAGAAGTTTCTGAGAATGCTGCTGTCTGCTTTTTATATGTAATCCCGTTTCCAAAGAAATCCTCAAAGCTAGACAAATATCCACTTACAGATTCCACAAAAAGAGTGTTTCAAAACTGCTCTCTCAAAAGAAAGGTTCAACTCTTTTAGCTGAGTAGATACATCATGAAAAAGTTTCTCACATTGCTTCTATCTAGCTTTTATTGGAAGATATTTCCTTTTTCACCGTAGTACTGAGAGCGCTCCAAATGTCCACTTCCAGATGCTACAAAAAGAGTGTTTCAAACCTGCTCTATGAAAGGGACTGTTCAACACTGTGACTTCAATTGAAACATCCCAATGAAGCTTCTCAGAATCCTTATGTCTAGAGTTTATATGAAGACAATCCCGTTTCCAACGAAATCCTGAAAGCTATCCAAATATCCTCTTGCAGATATTACAAAAAGAGTGTTTCAAAACTGCTCTATCAAAAGAAAGCTTCAACACTGTTAGTTGAGGGCGCCCATCACAAATAAGTTTCGGAGAATGCTTAGCTGTCTGCTTTTTATATGTAATCCCGTTTCCAACGAAATCCTCAAAGCTAGACAAATATCCACTTGCAGATTCCACAAAAAGAGTGTTTCAAAACTGCTCTATCAAAAGAAAGCTTCAACACTGTTAGTTGAGGGCGCACATCACAAATAAGTTTCTGAGAATGCTTCTGTCTAGTTTTCAGGGGAAGATATTTCCTTTTTCACCATAGGCCTGAAAGCGCTCCAAATGTCCACATCCAGATACTACAAAAAGAGTGTTTCAAACCTGCTCTATGAAAGGGACTGTTCAACACTGTGACTTCAATTGAAACATCCCAATGAAGCTTCTGAGAATGCTTCTGTCTAGAGTTTATATGAAGACAATCCCGTATCCAACGAAATCCTCAAAGCTATCCAAATATCCTCTTGCAGATATTACAAAAAGAGTGTTTCAAAACTGCTCTATCAAAAGAAAGGTTCAACACTGTTAGTTGAGGGAGCACATCACAAATAAGTTTCTGAGAATGCTTCTGTCTAGTTTTCAGGGGAAGATATTTCCTTTTTCACCATAGGCCTGAAAGCGCTCCAAATGTCCACATCCAGATACTACAAAAAGAGTGTTTCAAACCTGCTCTATGAAAGGGAATGTTCAACTCTGTGACTTGAATGCAAACATCACAAAGAAGTTTCTGGGAATGCTGCTGTCTGCTTTTTATATGTAATCCCGTTTCCAACGAAATCCTCAAAGCTAGACAAATATCCACTTGCAGATTCCACAAAAAGAGTGTTTCAAAACTGCTCTCTCAAAAGAAAGGTTCAACTCTGTTAGCTGAGTAGATACATCATGAAAAAGTTTCTGACATTGATTCTATCTAGCTTTTATTGGAAGATATTTCCTTTATCACCGTATTCCTGAGATCTCTCCAAATGTCCACTTCCAGATACTACAAAAAGAGTGTTTCAAACCTGCTCTATGAAAGGGACTGTTCAACACTGTGACTTCAATTGAAACATCCCAATGAAGCTTCTGAGAATGCTTCTGTCTAGATTCTATATGAAGACAATCCCGTTTCCAACGAAATCCTCAAAGCTATCCAAATATCCTCTTGCAGATTTTACAAAAAGAGTGTTTCAAAACTGCTCTATCAAAAGAAAAGTTCCACACTGTTAGTTGAGGGCGCACATCACAAATAAGTTTGCTGAGAATGCTGCTGTCTGCTTTTTATATGTAATCCCGTTTCCAACGAAATCCTCAAAGCTAGACAAATATCCACTTGCAGATTCCACAAAAAGAGTGTTTCAAAACTGCTCTATCAAAAGAAAGCTTCAACACTGTTAGTTGAGGGCGCACATCACAAATAAGTTTCTGAGAATGCTTCTGTCTAGTTTTCAGGGGAAGATATTTCCTTTTTCACGTTAGGCCTGAAAGCGCTGCAAATGTCCACATCCAGATACTACAAAAAGAGTGTTTCAAACCTGCTCTATGAAAGGGAATGTTCAACTCTGTGACTTGAATGCAAACAACACAAAGAAGTTTCTGGGAATGCTGCTGTCTGCTTTTTATATGTAACCCGTTTCCAACGAAATCCTCAAAGCTAGACAAATATCCACTTGCAGATTCCACAAAAAGAGTGTTTCAAAACTGCTCTCTCAAAGGAAGGTTCAACTCTGTTAGCTGAGTAGATACATCATGAAAAAGTTTCTGACATTGCTTCTATCTAGCTTTTATTGGAAGATATTTCCTTTATCACCGTATTCCTGAGATCTCTCCAAATGTCCACTTCCAGATACTACAAAAAGAGTGTTTCAAACCTGCTCTATGAAAGGGACTGTTCAACACTGTGACTTCAATTGAAACATCCCAATGAAGCTTCTGAGAATGCTTCTGTCTAGAGTTTATATGAAGACAATCCCGTTTCCAAAGAAATCCTCAAAGCTATCCAAATATCCTCTTGCAGATATTACAAAAAGAGTGTTTCAAAACTGCTCTATCAAAACAAAGGTTCAACACTGTTAGTTGAGGGCGCACATCACAAATAAGTTTCTGAGAATGCTGCTGTCTGCTTTTTATATGTAATCCCGTTTCCAACGAAATCCTCAAAGCTAGACAAATATCCACTTGCAGATTCCACAAAAAGAGTGTTTCAAACTGCTCTATCAAAAGAATGCTTCAACACTGTTAGTTGAGGGCGCACATCACAAATAAGTTTCTGAGAATGCTTCTGTCCAGTTTTCAGGGGAAGATATTTCCTTTTAAACCATAGGCCTGAAAGCACTCCAAATCTCCACATCCAGATACTACAAAAAGAGTGTTTCAAACCTGCTCTATGAAAGGGACTGTTCAACACTGTGACTTCAATTGAAACATCCCAATGAAGCTTCTGAGAATGCTTCTGTCTAGAGTTTATATGAAGACAATCCCGTTTCCAACGAAATCATCAAAGCTATCCAAATATCCTCTTGCAGATATTACAAAAAGAGTGTTTCAAAACTGCTCTATCAAAAGAAAGGTTCAACACCGTTAGTTGAGGGCGCACATCACAAATAAGTTTCTGAGAATGCTTCTGTCTAGTTTTCAGGGGAAGATATTTCCTTTTTCACCTTAGGCCTGAAAGCGCTGCAAATGTCCACATCCAGATACTACAAAAAGAGTGTTTCAAACCTGCTCTATGAAAGGGAATGTTCAACTCTGTGACTTGAATGCAAACATCACAAAGAAGTTTCTGGGAATGCTGCTGTCTGCTTTTTATATGTAATCCCGTTTCCAACGTAATCCTCAAAGCTAGACAAATATCCACTTGCAGATTCCACAAAAAGAGTGTTTCAAAACTGCTCTCTCAAAAGAAAGGTTAAACTCTGTTAGCTGAGTAGATACATCATGAAAAAGTTTCTGACATTGCTTCTATCTAGCTTTTATTGGAAGATATTTCTTTATCACCGTATTCCTGAGATCTCTCCAAATGTCCACTTCCAGATACTACAATAAGAGTGTTTCAAACCTGCTCTATGAAAGGGACTGTTCAACACTGTGACTTCAATTGAAACATCCCAATGAAGCTTCTGAGAATGCTTCTGTCTAGAGTTTATATGAAGACAATCCCGTTTCCAACGAAATCCTCAAAGCTATCCAAATATCCTCTTGCAGATATTACAAAAAGAGTGTTTCAAAACTGCTCTATCAAAAGAAAGGTTCAACACTGTTAGTTGAGGGCGCACATCACAAATAAGTTTCTGAGAATGCTTCTGTCTAGTTTTCAGGGGAAGATATTTCCTTTTTCACCATAGGCCTGAAAGCGCTCCAAATGTCCACATCCAGATACTTCAAAAAGAGTGTTTCAAACCTGCTCTATGAAAGGGAACGTTCAACTCTGTGACTTGAATGCAAACATCAGAAAAAAGTTACTGGGAATGCTGCTGTCTGCTTTTTATATGTAATCCCGTTTCCAACGAAATCCTCAAAGCTAGACAAATATCCACTTGCAGATTCCACAAAAAGAGTGTTTCAAAACTGCTCTCTCAAAGGAAAGTTTCAACTCTGTTAGCTGAGTAGATACATCATGAAAAAGTTTCTGACATTGCTTCTATGTAGCTTTTATTGGAAGATATTTCCTTTTTCACCATAGTCCTGAGAGCGCTCCAAATGTCCACTTCCAGATACTACAAAAAGAGTGTTTCAAACCTGTTCTATGAAAGGAACTGTTCAACACTGTGACTTCAATTGAAACATCCCAATGAAGCTTCTGGGAATGCTTCTTTCTAGAGTTTATATGAAGACAATCCCGTTTCCAACGAAATCCTCAAAGCTATCCAAATATTCTCTTGCAGATATTACAAAAAGAGTGTTTCAAAACTGCTCTATCAAAATAAAGCTTCAACACTGTTAGTTGAGGGCGCACATCACAAATAAGTTTCTGAGAATGCTGCTGTCTGCTTTTTATATGTAATCCCGTTTCCAACGAAATCCTCAAAGCTAGTACAAATATCCACTTGCAGATTCCACAAAAAGAGTGTTTCAAAACTGCTCTATCAAAAGAATGCTTCAACACTGTTAGTTGAGGGCGCACATCACAAATAAGTTTCTGAGAATGCTTCTGTCTAGTTTTCAGGGGAAGATATTTCCTTTTAAACCATAGGCCTGAAAGCGCTCCAAATGTCCACATCCAGATACTACAAAAAGAGTGTTTCAAACCTGCTCTATGAAAGGGACTGTTCAACACTGCAACTTCAATTGAAACATCCCAATGAAGCTTCTGAGAATGCTTCTGTCTAGAATTTATATGAAGACAATCCCGTTTCCAAAGAAATCCTCAAAGCTATCCAAATATCCTCTTGCAGATATTACAAAAAGAGTGTTTCAAAACTGCTCTATCAAAAGAAAGCTTCAACACTGTTAGTTGAGGGCGCACATCACAAATAAGTTTCTGAGAATGCTTCTGTCTAGTTTTCAGGGGAAGATATTTCCTTTTTCACCATAGGCCTCAAAGCGCTGCAAATGTCCACATCCAGATACTACAAAAAGAGTGTTTCAAACCTGCTCTATAAAAGGGAATGTTCAACTCTGTGACTTGAATGCAAACATCACAAAGAAGTTTCTGGGAATGCTGCTGTCTGCTTTTTATATGTAATCCCGTTTCCAACGAAATCCTCAAAGCTAGACAAATATCCACTTGCAGATTCCACAAGAAGAGTGTTTCAAAACTGCTCTCTCAAAAGAAAGGTTTAACTCTGTTAGCTGAGTAGATACATCATGAAAAAGTTTCTGACATTGTTTCTATCTAGCTTTTATTGGAAGATATTTCCTTTATCACCGTATTCCTGAGATCTCTCCAAATGTCCACTTCCAGATACTACAAAAAGAGTGTTTCAAACCTGCTCTATGAAAGGGACTGTTCAACACTGTGACTTCAATTGAAACATCCCAATGAAGCTTCTGAGAATGCTTCTGTCTAGAGTTTATATGAAGACAATCCCGTTTCCAACGAAATCCTCAAAGCTATCCAAATATCCTCTTGCAGATATTACAAAAAGAGTGTTTCAAAACTGCTCTATCAAAAGAAAGGTTCAACACTGTTAGTTGAGGGCGCACATCACAAATAAGTTTCTGAGAATGCTTCTGTCTAGTTTTCAGGGGAAGATATTTCCTTTTTCACCATAGGCCTGAAAGCGCTCCAAATGTCCACATCCAGATACTTCAAAAAGAGTGTTTCAAACCTGCTCTATGAAAGGGAACGTTCAACTCCTGTGACTTGAATGCAAACATCAGAAAGAAGTTACTGGGAATGCTGCTGACTGCTTTTTATATGTATTCCCGTTTCCAAAGAAATCCACAAATCTAGACAAATATCCACTTGCAGATTCCACAAAAAGAGTGTTTCAAAACTGCTCTCTCAAAAGAAAGGTTCAACTCTGTTAGCTGAGTAGATACATCATGAAAAAGTTTCTGACATTGCTTCTATCTAGCTTTTATTGGAAGATATTTCCTTTGTCACTTTATTCCTGAGATCTCTCCAAATGTCCACTTCCAGATACTACAAAAAGAGTGTTTCAAACCTGCTCTATGAAAGGGACTGTTCAACACTGTGACTTCAATTGAAACATCCCAATGAAGCTTCTGAGAATGCTTCTGTCTAGAGTTTATATGAAGACAATCCCGTTTCCAACGAAATCCTCAAAGCTATCCAAATATCCTCTTGCAGATATTACAAAAAGAGTGTTTCAAAACTGCTCTATCAAAAGAAAGGTTCAACACTGTTAGTTGAGGGCGCACATCACAAATAAGTTTACTGAGAATGCTGCTGTCTGCTTTTTATATGTAATCCCGTTTCCAACGAAATCCTCAAAGCTATCCAAATATCCTCTTGCAGATATTACAAAAAGAGTGTTTCAAAACTGCTCTATCAAAAGAAAGGTTCAACACTGTTAGTTGAGGGCGCACATCACAAATAAGTTTCTGAGAATGCTTCTGTCTAGTTTTCAGGGGAAGATATTTCCTTTTTCACCATAGGCATGAAAGCGCTCCAAATGTCCACATCCAGATAATACAAAAAGAGTGTTTCAAACCTGCTCTATGAAAGGGACTGTTCAACACTGTGACTTCAATTGAAACATCCCAATGAAGCATCTGAGAATGCTTCTGTGTAGAGTTTATATGAAGACAATCCCGTTTCCAACGAAATCCTCAAAGCTATCAAAATATCCTCTTGCAGATTTTACGAAAAGAGTGTTTCAAAACTGCTCTATCAAAAGAAAGCTTCAACACTGTTAGTTGAGGGCGCACATCACAAATAAGATTCTGAGAATGCTTCTGTCTAGTTTTCAGGGGAAGATATTTCCTTTTTCACCTTAGGCCTGAAAGCGCTGCAAATGTCCACATCCAGATACTACAAAAAGAGTGTTTCAAACCTGCTCTATGAAAGGGAATGTTCAACTCTGTGACTTGAATGCAAACATCACAAAGAAGTTTCTGGGAATGCTGCTGTCTGCTTTTTATATGTAATCCCGTTTCCAACGAAATCCTCAAAGCTAGACAAATATCCACTTGCAGATTCCACAAAAAGAGTGTTTCAAAACTGCTCTCTCAAAGGAAAGGTTCAACTCTGTTAGCTGAGTAGATACATCATGAAAAAGTTTCTGACATTGCTTCTATCTAGCTTTTATTGGAAGATATTTCCTTTTTCACCGTAGTCCTGAGAGCGCTCCAAATGTCCACTTCCAGATACTACAAAAAGTGTGTTTCAAACCTGCTCTATGAAAGGGACTGTTCAACACTGTGACTTCAGTTGAAACATCCCAATGAAGCTTCTGAGAATGCTTCTGTCTAGATTTTATATGAAGACAATCCCGTTTCCAACGAAATCCTCAAAGCTAGACAAATATCCACTTGCAGATTCCACAAAAAGAGTGTTTCAAAACTGCTCTCTAAAAAAAAAGGTTCAACTCTGTTATCTGAGTAGATACATCATGAAAAAGTTTCTGATATTGCTGCTGTCTGCTTTTTATATGTAATCCCGTTTCCAACGAAATCCTCAAAGCTAGACAAATATCCACTTGCAGATTCCACAAAAAGAGTGTTTCAAAACTGCTCTATCAAAAGAAAGCTTCAACACTGTTAGTTGAGGGCGCACATCACAAATAAGTTTCTGAGAATGCTTCTGTCTAGTTTTCAGGGGAAGATATTTCCTTTTAAACCATAGGCCTGAAAGCGCTCCAAATGTCCACATCCAGATACTACAAAAAGAGTGTTTCAAACCTGCTCTATGAAAGGGACTGTTCAACACTGTGACTTCAATTGAAACATCCCAATGACGCTTCTGAGAATGCTACTGTCTAGAGTTTATATGAAGACAATCGCGTTTCCAACGAAATCCTCAAAGCTATCCAAATATCCTCTTGCAGATTTTACAAAAAGTGTGTTTCAAAACAGCTCTATCAAAAGAAAAGTTCTACACTGTTAGTTGAGGGCGCACATCACAAATAAGATTCTGAGAATGCTTCTGTCTAGTTTTCAGGGGAAGATATTTCCTTTTTCACCATAGGCCTGAAAGCGCTCCAAATGTCCACATCCAGATACTACAAAAAGAGTGTTTCAAACCTGCTCTATGAAAGGGAATGTTCAACTCTGTGACTTGAATGCAAACATCACAAAGAAGTTTCTGGGAATGCTGCTGTCTGCTTTTTATATGTAATCCCGTTTCCAACGAAATCCTCAAAACTAGACAAATATCCACTTGCAGATTCCACAAAGAGAGTGTTTCAAAACTGCTCTCTCAAAAGAAAGGTTCAACTCTGTTAGCTGAGTAGGTACATCATGAAAAAGTTTCTGACATTGCT